>NC_000006.12:17938787-18090303 GCF_000001405.40 Homo sapiens | reverse complement strand
CCCTCTTTCAGGTCCCCTCTCCATGGCAGAGAGTTTTCTTCTTTTGCTCATTAAACTCATGCTCCAACTTCACCCTTGGTGTCTGCGCTCCTTAATTTTCTTGGTCGTGGTGTATCCGGAATTTATTCCTTGCAGTGGGTTCTTGGTCTCACCAGCTTCAAGAATGAAGCCGTGGACCTTCGCAGAGAGTGTTACAGCTCTTAAAGATGGTGTGTCCAGAGTTTCTTCCTTCCAGTGGGTTGGTGGTCTCGCTGACTTCAAGAATGAAGCCGTGGACCTTCGCGGCAAGTGTTAACAGCTCTTAAAGGTAGTGCAGACCCAAAGAGTGAGCAGCAGCAAGATTTATTGTGAAGAGCAGAAAAACAAAGCTTCCACAGCATAGAAGGGTACCCGAGTAGGTTGCCGTGGCTGGCTGGAGTGGCCAGCTTTTAGTCCCTTATTTGGTCCCACCCATGTCCTGCTTATTGGTCCATTTTACAGAGTGCTGATTGGTCCATTTTACAGAGTGCAGACTGGTCCATTTTACAGAGTGCTGATTGGTGCGTTTACAATCCTTTAGCTACACACAGAGCACTGACTGGTGTGTTTTTACAGAGTGCTGATTGGTGCGTTTACAATCCTTTAGCTAGACACAGAGCACTGATTGGTGTGTTTTTACAGAGTGCTGATTGGTGCATTTACAATCCTTTAGCTAGACAGAAAAGTTCTCCAAGTCCCCACTCGACCCAGGAAATCTAGCTGGCTTCACCTCTCAGTGGGACAAAGAACTTTGGGTATACCTCAGACAATGAGAGTCTGATACACTGTGATGCTCTGGTGAGACTGGAACAGTGCATATGAGAATAGGCAGCTGGATCTAGACATCCACTCAGTGTGTGCCTTCTCGTGAGTTATTTAAGTCTCCTAAGCCTCACTTTCCTTGTCTGTAGTGTGGAAGCATTAATACCTATTTTTAATTACTGAGAGAATGCTTGTGGCAGATGACTGGCACATATTAATCACTCAATAAATAGTAATTATTATTTTTATAACTACCCACACTCATTTTCATTAAACATACATTACATAACAAAGGTCGAGTGTGAATAAAATGGGATTCATTTATCACAACAATTGATTTACTGCATAGAACAAACACTGGAATCCCAGAGTCAGAAGGGTGAACAGCCATGAGGACCACAGGGCAGGGCACCAAAATCACCTGCTACAGCCACCACTGCAGGGTACACAGAGAGATCTAAAAACTGGTATTAGTCCACCCCCCGGGTACAAAAGAGTTATGGTAGAAGAGGCTGGGGGAAGTGACATACCTTGGAGAAATTTTCAATGTATAGTAAATTTCCAATACCCTCTCCAGAGGAGAAGGCAAAGAGGGTTTTCTTCTTTATCTGAAGCTGAGTAGAATTGGCAGTCAAGAGGAGCACTCAAATAACTCGACAACCTTCCCTGGAGTTAGAGATCACGGGGAATGGTTTCAGAAATACACCTGAGAACACTAAAGGCTGTAGTCACTGATGCTGACAGAAGCAGGAGGAGGGCATTGCACGGGGAGTGAAGTGCACTTCCAACCACTCCAGAGCATTCCTAGGAACAAACTAAAGTGTCCTGTAGCAAAACAAGCTGCAGGAAATGAACAATTATTATAGAAGCATGACCAATATACCTTAGCATGCTGAGGCTCTGATAAGTCCTGCAGGAAAGACAACTGTTTAGTTTTATTTAACAGCATTTTTCAAACTTAATTTTTTTTTTCTTTTAAAGAGACAAGGTCTAACTATGTTGCCCAGGCTGGTCTTGAACTCCTTAGCTCAACTGATCCTCCCATGTTGCCTTCCTAAAGTGCTAGGATTACAGGCATGAACCATCACTCCCAGCCCACATTGTTCAAACTTTTAAACCATGGAACCCTGTTTTCCTTGGTAATGCCTATTCATAATCTGTGGGTGTCATGCTTTGTGGAAACACTTTTGAAAACACTGATGTGGGCTTTAGACTTAAAAGGCTCTGGACAACCTGGAAAGAGGCCCAGCTCACCTGAAAACTGGAATCCTTCTCATTACTCAAGGAGATAAACTATTGTTCCCACTGTTCTCTGGTGGGCCTGAACCTTGGGGTCAGTATCATTTCTAGTCAAGGGAAACATTTCCAAAGCTCTTCACTGGGAAAACCCTTATCTTTAGTGATCGCTATCCTCTGTGGCTAGAGGCGGGTTCCTGGCAGGAGGACCTCTCCCTTTCTTCTTTCCATAAATGCTTACAATCATTTCATTGAATGAGCTGGACTTAGCTGGGCTTATAAGCATAAAATAACTTTATTTTTTTTCTTCCATGGCCTCTTCAAATCACTCCATGGTCTAATTCTTCCTTGCCCCAGGATAGGATCATGAGCACATTCCATGGCTTTTCCAGTCATCCCTGGAAAATAAATGAAAAGCCCCTTGTTTGGGTATTAACAAATAAAGTCTGTTTCATAATCATATAATTCCAATCCAGTCCAGGATAAAAATCAGAACTCCAATTAACTCCAAATCTTTATCCAATTAAGATTTCTTCCCTTCTCCACTTTGGACCTGGCCACACTGGCAGGCAGAATTGAGAGTATCATCAGTTTCTTTTCTCTTTTCCCAATCCTCTTGCTTCCCACTTTATAGCTGCTGTTTGTAACCCCTGCAGGGTTGGGTCCTGGGAAGAGGGGATTCAGGGAAAGGGCACAGCTTGACTCAGCTGGATGGCTGGGGTCCTGCTGCTTGTACCCTCCGGATGGCAGATGCCTGCTCTCTTGGTGAGCTTTCTCAGGCTTTCCAGAGAGTTGCCCACTTACTCTTTGATGGAGAAATTATGCCTTTCCTGATTTCTCTTGACCCCTTGGCTTCCTGTGTCCACCCGTCTGCCTGGGCGGCACTGTCCCTCGAGGCAGGTGTCTTGGGAAAAGTCATGTTTAAGCAAATTCCAGGCCAGCTGCCTTCATATCCAGGTCCTAGTAAAATGCAGTGGAAATGCAACGGGCCTTTGAGGCATTCTGTCTTCACTGCGAGGCAGAAGCAGTCCCAGCCACCTCTCACTTGGCAAGAGTGGGACACCAGTCCCCACAAGTGGTTCTCTAGAAACTTCCTTTGAAGTGCATCCTTTTCCCACCTGTGGGAGTGGGATACCCAGCACACTGAAAATTCTCACAAAGATCCTCCCTCTACTACTGATTATCAAAATTCCATCTTGAAAAAGTAGGTGTCTGTGATAGGCTAATGTAGGCATGACTGGTTTCTGATTCTCTCTCACTCTCTCTCTCTTTCTTTCTTTTTTCATTTTGAGATAGGGTCTCGCTCTTTCACTCAGGCTGGAGTGCAGTGGTGTGATATTGGCTCACTGCAGCCTCAACCTCCTAGACTCAGGTAATCCTCCTGCCTCAGTCTCCCATGTAGCTGGGACCACAGGCGCATGCCACCACACTCAGCTAATTTTTGTTTATTTTTTGTAGAGACAGGGTCTCACCATGTTTTCCAGGCTGGTCTCGAACTCCTGGGCTCAAGGGATCCACCCACTTTGGGCTCTCAAAGGGTTGGGATTACAGGTGTGAACCACTGCGCCCAGCCAATTTTTTTTAATAAAAAAATTTTTTTGATGCTAGGTCTTGCTCTGTTGCTTTGTCTGCTGGAGTGCAGTGGTATGATCTTGGCTCACTGCAGCCTCAACCCCCTGACCCTTGCCTCCAACACTGGGCTTAAGTCATTCTCCTACCTCAGCCTCCCAAGTAGCTGGAACCACAGCACGCACCATCATGCCTAGTTAATTGTTTTATTATTTGTAAAGATGGTGTTTCACTATGTTGCCCAGGCTGGACTTGAACTCCTGAGCTCATGCTATCCTCCCACCTCAGCCTCTTAAAGTGCTGGTATTACAGCCATGAGTCACCATACCGGTCTTTTTTTTTTTCCTCTTAACGTGCCCTGCATGGCTAGACCAGCATCTGCCTGTATCATCTGAGAGATACTTGGTACTACTGCATTGTTCTCAGCTTTAGGGAGCTTGCTTGAAATCAAGCCATAGAGAATTTCATTTTAATATCCTGTTATTTACAGCTTTCTTTCTCTGAAAGTTTTGATCTGAAGTTGGAAAGCTGGCAATATTGCTGCAGTTGGATATAGGCATAACAATTTGGCAATATGCCAGATACGATATAGACAACAGCATCCCTAATTTTAATGGAAGTTCCTAAAGTTATAATCTCAGAGATCTCATATTTCTCAATTTAAAATGTCTTTAAGGCTGGCACAGTGGCTCAAACCTATAATCCCAGCACTTTGGGAGGCCGAGGCGGGTGGATCACCTGCGGTCTGGAGTTCAAGACCAACCTGGGCAACATGGTGAAACCCTGTTTCTAATAAAAAAAAGAAAATTAGCCCGGCATGGTGGTGCACACCTATGGTCCCATCTACTCGGGAGGCTGAGGCAAGTGAATCACGTGAACCCGGGAGGCAGAGGTTGCAGTGAGCCAAGATCTTGCCATTGCACTCCATCCTGGGTGACAAGAGTGAAACTCTGTCTCCTAAAAAATAAAAAGTAAAATGTCTTTAATTTTCTCCCTTTTCATTTGATTGTCCTGAACTACTTGATATTAGTAAACCTTTGTTGTTGTTAGTGATGATAACATTTCTTTTTAAACATGTATCTTTACATATTGATGTATGAAACGTAAACAGGGCTTTAGTATGAGTTATCTATTGCTGTATAAAATATTACCCCAAAACCTAGTGGCTTAAAACAACAAACGTGTATTACTTCATAATTTCTGTGGATTAGGAATTCAGGAGCAGCTTAGTTGAGTGCCTCTGGCTTAAGATCTCTCATGAGGTTGCAGTTAAGCTATCAGATCATCATGGGGTCTCATCTGAAGTCTCAACTGGAGCGGGGATGGGATGGTGGTAGTGAGGATGGCTGCTTCCAGGCTCCCTCGTGTGTTTATTAGCTGACCAGAATCTCCCACCAGATGGGCCTCTCCATACAGAGACCTCACAACATGGCACCCAGCTTCCTTCAGGATTAGAAATCTGAGAGAGGTCAAGAGAGAGTGTGGCAAAGAAGGAAGCCATAGTCTTTTTATAACATAATCGCACAGTGACATCCTATCACTTCTGCTGTATTTTATTCCTTAGAGGTGAGTCAATAAGCCCAGCCCACACACAAGAGGAGGGAATTATACCAGGATATGAACGAGGAGGTGGAGGGCATTGGGGGGCATCTTAGAGGCTTCTTACCACAACTTCATAACGGTTAGTTAATAAGATTGGAAGAAACGAATATTATTGTTTCAGAATCTTCCAGTCTTATCTACTTATCTTATCTACTACTGACTTTAGAGAAAAATTCCAACTAGTCCAAGATTACATATAATCTTCCAAGTTGAAAACTCACATAGCACTACTTTATTAAAGAATAAGCCAGGCCTGGTGGCTCACGCCTGTAATCCCTGCACTTTGGGAGGCTGAGGCAGGTGGATCACCTGAGGTCAGGAGTTCGAGACCAGCCTTGCCAACATGGTAAAACCCTATCTCTACTAACAATACAAAAATTAGCCAGGTGTGGTGGCAGGCATCTGTAATCCCAGATACTTAGGAGACTGAGGCATGAGAATCGCTTGAAACCAGGAGACAGAGGTTTCAGTGAGCCAAGATTGTGCCACTGCACTCCAGCCTAGGGGACAGAGAGAGACCCTGACTCCAAAAAAAAAAAAAAAAAAAGAATAAAATATGGCAACTGTATTCTACGTAAACCCAGGTGAGCTGAGCAAACTATAATTACAATTATGAGCTCCTTCAAAAGCTTTAGTAATATAGGATACACAATTTGTCAAACTTCAATGAAAATATCTTTATGACTATGACCTATTGCCATCTGTCAAAAAAAAAAAAATTCAGCAAAGCCAGGTGCAGTGGCTCACACCTGTAATCCCAGCACTTTGGGAGGCCGAGGCAGGCAGATCACCTGAGGTCAGGAGTTCTAGACTAGCCTGGCCAACATGGAGAAATCCTGTTTCTACTAAAAATACAAAAATTAGCAGGGCGTGGTGGTGCATGCCTGTAATCCAAACTACTAGGGAGACTGAGGCGGGAGAATTGCTTGAACCCAGACAGAAGTTGCAGTGATCTGAGATCATGCCACTGCACTCCAGCCTGGGTGACAGAGCAAGACCCCATCTCAAAAAAAAAAAAAAAAAAAAATCAGCAAAATACTTGCCTATAAGATGAACTGAGAATTTTGGTACCTTATATATCTTATTATTCCATATTTTATTATAAACCAACACTATAGATTATCTCCTTTTGTTAAATAATTGTATACTAGTCTTTCTTAAGCTATGTACAGGCAGTATTTATGTATTATTTGTATCCTACCTATTTTCAAACAGAATTTGTGGGCATTAGAATTTGGCAAATTTAGGCTTTATAGTACTTCTTCATATTTTATATCATTTCGTTCTTCAAAATGATTCTAAATTTATTTTTCTCCCCTGATCTTTATAAGTCTATGATATACTTGGGATAGGTGGCTACTTTTTTTTTTTTTTTTTTTTTTGAGACAGGGTCTCACTCTGTCACTCAGGCTGGAGTGCAGTGGCACAATCTTGGTTCACTGGACTCTCCGCCTCCCAGGCTTAAGCAATCCTCCCATTTCAGCCTCTTGAGTAGCTGGGTCCACAGGTGCACATTACCCCCATCTGGCTAAATTTTTTTTGTATTTTTGGTGGAGATGGGGTTCGCCACATTAACCAGGCTGGTCTTGAACTCCTGCACTCAAGTGATCTGCCCGCCTCAGCATTCCAAAGTGCTGCGGTTATAGATGTGAGCCACTGCACCCAGCCTTATTTCTACTTTAGAAGACAACAGGTTTGGAGTTTCCCAAAATCATAAAACCTATAAAAACAAAATCAAAACATAAACCCAACTCTCGTGCATTTCCCAGTATGCCTGAGCTCCATTCATTCTAAGCATTTGAGCGTGTTCATTACAGAGCCACCCACCAGCTAGAGACACACTATTTGTCTCTGTTTAAACCATCCCCTACAACAAAATCAGTTTACCACATAAAATAAATGCTTATCAGAAACAATCCTCTATGAACCTGTTTAAACAAGCTTTTGGTTTCTTTCTTTTTAAAAAAAAGCAAGGAGAGGCAAATTTCCCCTAATATTAAAAAACACCACTTGGCTTTTTTCCTGAAACCAGACAGCTTCTGTGTAAACACTCTCCTTCTTTGAAACCAGAAGGCTCCCACGTGGAAATTATTTCAATAGTTCCTGACAAAAATGCTCCTAGGCCTCTAAGAAAGTAACACATGCCTGGAGAAAAAGAAGGAAAAAGGCCAGGCATGGTGGCTCACGCCTGTAATCCCAGCACTTTGGGAGGCTGGGGCAGGCGGATCACTTGAGGTCAGGAGTTCGAGACCAGCCTGGCTAACATGGTGAAACCCTGTCTCTACTAAAAATACAAAAAACTTTAGCTGGTGTGGTGGTCCACATCTGTAGTCCCAGCTACTCAGGAGGCTGAGGCACAAGAGTCGCTTGAACCCGGGAGGTGGAGGCTGCAGTGAGCCAAGATCACGCCAGTGCAATCCAGCCTGGGCAACACGGCGAGACTCTATCTCCAAAACAAAAAAAAAAGGAAAAATTAAAAGGCATTAAAATGCCTACATCCATGGAATAAGTATTCATTTTAAGAAGGAAAGGAATCCAAATAGTTTCACTGTGACTTGAAAAGCAATGAAGTTTAAAAATTGAAAAGACTGGTAGGGCATGGTGTCTCACGCCTGTAATCCCAGCACTTTGGGAGGCCAAGGCGGGTGGATCACCTGAGGTCAGTAGTGAGTTTGAGACCAGCCTGGCCAACATGTCGAAACCCTGTCTCTACTAAAAATACAAAAATTAGCCAGGCATGGTGGCGGGTGCCTGTAATCCCAGCTACTGGGGAGGCTGAGGCAGGAGAATCACTTGAACCTGGGAGGCGGAGGTTGCAGTGAGCCGAGATCGTGCCACTGCACTCCAGCCTGGGAGACAGAACGAGACTCCCGTCTCAAAGAAAAAATTGAAAAGACTAAGGAACTTAACAGCATGATTCAAAAATATTCAGGGAATTTCATTCCATTGGCATTTTTTGAGCTATATGATTTGTGAGACACCACGTTAAGAGCCAAAGGAAATACAAGTATGAGAAAGTCCATTTCTATCACCAAGTAAATTATTTCATGGTGGGAAATACCGCAAGGTAGATATTTTCATATGCCCCATTTTACAAGTGACAAAACTGAGGTTCAAAGAGATCCAGTTACTTGCTCAAGACTGGAAAAAGTGATATTCACCCAAATTCTGTGACTTTGAGCAAGTTACTGAACCTCTTTGGGCCTCAGAATTTGACTAATCAGTAAAAAAGGGAGGGACATTCCAGAAACAGTGACCAGCCTGAGCAAAAAACAGATGGCAAAGTCAGTGCCATGTAAATAAAAGATATGGGCTATGGGGCAATGTAATAGGAAATAGTTTTGGAAGGGTGTTTTGTGGGGTCATATCTTGGAAGATTTTGATTACCTGGCTGACGATCTGATTTGAAATATGAAAATAGGAACCCATTAAATACTTTTGGCAAGGAGGTGGCCTGCTGGGATTGCGGCATTCTGAAATTTATCATAATTCCAGCATCTCTAGAGACTCGGTGGATAGGCGCCAGCATTAAAATGTTTGCCATTCCATGGCTCGTCTTGTCTGTGATGATTCTGCTCTATTCTGGGCTGAAAGACTGGCGTAACATGATGAAGAAGGAGGTATTCTGGACCATGTAAAGGACAGCGGATTGCTAAGGTCAACATTTAATGAGTCAGAAAGTCAATAAGAGATGAGTTTGGAATAGTAGGGTCTGGAGATGACGGAAGAGCTGGAATGAATGTTAAACTCAAAAGTGTCAACTCCCATAGGCAGTGGGCACCCATGGAGAGTTTAAGTAAGGTAACGACAAGATAATCAAGTTATAAGTAGAGAAATCAGATGTGCTCCTTTTAAACTAGATTTTGTTTGTGTCTGCCTACAAGCCACCTCATCATTCACCATTTGTCATTCAAAAAGCAAAGATCATCCCACTCGTTGTGAGTGCCCTTTGTATTACAGATGCTGATTTTTAAAATATCTTTTTATTAGAATCTATATTGGTTTTCTATTGCCGCATAATAGATTACCGTAAATTTATCAGCTGAAAGTAACATTCATTCATTCATTCATTCATTCATTCATTATCTCATGGTTCTGTAGGTCCAAAGTCCAAGTACAACATGCTTGAGTTGAGCTGAGCTGCATTCTGGTCTGGAGACTTGACTAAGGAAGAATCCACTTCTAAAGTCATGCAGGTTGCTGGCAGAATTCAGTTCCTTGTGGTGGAAGGACTGAGGTCCCTGTCTTGGTGGCTGTTAATTAGGGTTGCTGTCAGCTCCTAGAGGCTGTTTGCAGGTCCTTATCCTGTGGAGACAGCCATCTTCAGAGCCAGCAGTGTAGAAACTCCCTGGCATCACATTCCTGTCCTGCTTCAAATGTCTTCCTTAGGACAAGGCTCATCTCTTATACGGGCTCACCTGATTAGGTCGGGCTCACCCAGGTTGTCTCCTTTCTTTCTTTCTTTCTTTCTTTTTTTTTTTTTTTCTTACTCTGTCGCCCAGGCTGAAGTGCAGTGGTGTGATTTCAGCTCACAGCAACCTCCACCTCTCGGGTTCAAGTGATTCTCCTGTCTCAGCCTTCTGAATAGCTGGGATTACAGGTGCATGCCACAACGCCCGGCTAATTTTTGTATTTTTAGTGGAGATGCGATTTCACCATGTTGGCCAGGCTTGTCTCCAATTCCTGACCTCATGATCCACCCACCTCGGCCTCCCAAAGTGCTAGGATTACAGGCGTGAGCCACCATGCCTGGCCCAGGGAGTCTCCTTTCTTAGAGCCAGCTGTGCGGTGGAACATCGCCTCATCACAGAAGTGATTATTGCTTCATATGCAAAGTCTTAGGGATTATGCAGGGCAGGTACACCAAGGGACAGGAATCTTAGGGATCACCTTAGAATTCTGCCTCCCACAGATTCTAAGTCTCTTGTGGGCTGGAAATATACAGAGGATGCTTTAGAACCCAGGACAGTGCTTTGCCCGTACAGACAATTCAACAAATACTATTGAGATAAAGAAGTACATCACTATCATTCCATTTAAAACAGACTTTCCCTCTGCCTCTCAGTTTCCCCTGACCTTCTTTATCTTCTTAGCACATATCACAACCTGACATTTTATATATATATATCTGTGTGTGTGTACATGTGTGTGTGTTTATATTTACTGTTCATTGCCTGTCCTCCCACCACTCGAATGAAAGCCTCCTTAGGCCAGGCATGGTGGCTCACGCCTGTAATCCCAGCACTCTGGGAGGCAGAGGTGGGCGGATCACCTGAGATCAGGAGTTCGAGACCAGCCTGGCCAACATGGTGAAACACAGTCTCTACTAAAAATACAAAAATTTGCTGGATGTGGTGGTGCATGCCTGTAATCCCAGCTACTCAGGAGGCTGAGGCATGAGAATCGCTTGAACCTGGGAGGCAGAGGTTGCAGTGAGCCAAGACTGTGCCATTGCACTCCAGCCTGGGCGACAGAGTGAGACTCCATCTCAAAAAAAAAAAAAAAGAAGACCTCCTTCAGGTATGAATCTTTTCTAGCCTATTCACTCACCACTTTGTCCCCAGTGCTTAAAACACTACTTGGCACATTTTAGATACGCAATAATAAATATTTAGTAAATGAATGGATGGCTGAATGTTCTCAACTTGTCCAGGCATTAAAGAAGATGGCGTCCCAGGGCTACAGAGTTATGTGGGGAAATATTCCAAATTTAAATTCAAGGATACATTTGAATTGCATTTCAACTGAATGAATGCATTTGTAATACACAAACATTCACTGATACATTATGTGTCCAGCATGGTGCTAAGTATTTTATCTCATGCAATCAACTGAACAGCTGGAGAAAAAGTTAAGACTAAATTTATGTCCCTCCTCTATTCAAAGCCTCCAATGGCTTACATCTCCCTCTGGAAAATAGTGAAGGTCATCATAATGGTTTCTACGTCCCTATGCCTCATCTCCCACTTCTCTCTTCCTCTACCCTCCAGCCTCCCTGGCCCTCTGTGGTTATCACGCCAGCCCTGCTCCCAGCTCAGGGCCTTTGCCCTTTCAGTTCCTTCTACCCAGCCTGCTCATTACCCCAGATGCTGGCATGACTTGCTCCATCATCTCTTTCCATTGGTTCCTCACTTTGCACCTTCTAAGTGAAGCCTTCCATGACCGTTGTGTTTAAAATCACAGCCATTGCTCATCCTCCCTCACTCAGAACTTCCCATCCTCCTTCCTGTTTCTGTTTTCTCCATAACACTCCTCACCATATATCACTTATATCTCATTTATATATTTTCTTCATTGTGTGTCTTCTCCCACTAGGATGAAAGAAGACTGGGGATTTTTGTGTTTTGTTCACTGCTAGAACACAAAAATCTAGGTATTCCAGCACCTAGAACAGTGCCTGGCACAAAGTAGGCCCTCAGTAAATATTTACTGTGTCTTACAGAGCTAACAACAATACAACAATAACTCAAATACATTTGGGCTCAGTATTTTCCCCATGAATTTCAAGCCAAATTTCCAGGCTCTCTGTCCCTCACCACAGCTGAAAATATGACCCCATTTCCCACCCTTTAAACAGTATAAAAAACCCCAGGAGAAGAGGTTTTTGGTGTATTCTAAGAAACCTGGTGTTCTTATTCTTTTGTATAGGAAAATGCCCAGTAACTTCTAGTAACATCTGAGCCTTGAATTGCCTTTGTAGAGGGCAGAAAGAAGTAGGTTAAAGTAACTGAGCTTTTTATCTGAGCTAATGAAAGCACTTTGAGTCACTGTTAGCCATGGGTTGGCCCTCCTTAAAAGAATGGTTGAGAAAAAATACAAATAAGTTGTCTTGGGAATTCAAAGGGACTGTCAAAAAAAGGCTACCAGGGGAAGGTGGAGTGTAGAAAACTGTAGTTATTACAGGGCCTGGGCGATCCTTCAGAAGGTTTAGGTTTGGATGTGGAGCTGTGTTCCAATCGCAATATTGGAAATTTGTGATTGGCTCCCATCCTCCACCAGCCTCATTTTATTCACCTTGCAATAATGCAACCTCGCATTTCACACAACTTTTTGATCCTCTCTCACAATATGCCTTTATTCTTTTTTTTTTTTTTTTTTTCAGACAGGATCCCACTCTGTCTCCCAGGCTGGATCTCGGCTCACTGCAACCTCCCCCGCCTGGGTTCAAGCGATTCTCCCACCTCAACCTCCCGAGTAGCTGGGATTACAGGTGCATGCCACCATGACTTGCTAATTTTTGTATTTTTAGTAGAGACAGGGTTTAATCATTTGGCCAGGCTGATCTCCAACTCCTGGCCTCAAGTGATCCACCCGCCTCGGCCTCCTAGAGTCCTGGGATTACAGGCGTGAGCCACCACGCCGGGCCACAATATGCCTTAATTCTAATAAGCTAACAACACATAGCAGATTCTAATGGATTCTGAAGAGTAGCTGAACAATGTCTCTAATTTTTTATTTTCAACAAAGTGAAAAAACCCCATAACAGTTCCTCAGTTCTACTAAGTCTCTCTCTGCAATAGATTTGTCCAAGAGAAGCTCAGCACACACTCACAAGCCTTATCTATTTGCAGGAATACTCACAGATATTGGCGTTTTCTCCAGAATGGGAGCTGATTATAATCCTGAAAGACACAATCCTGAAAGCCATCATCCCAAATGTTGAAATCCTGTAAGATCAAAATTCTGAAAATATAATTCTGGAAAAAATAATTTTAAAATTATTTTTTAAAGTTTTATTTACTGGCTGGTGCTGTGGCACAGACCTGTAATCCCAGCATTTTGGGAGGCCAAGGCGGGCAGATCATTTGAAGCCAGGAGTTTGAGACCAGCCTGGCCAACATGGTGAAACCCCGCCTCTACTAAAAATGCAAAAATTAGCCAGGTGTGCTGGCGCATGCCTGTGATCTTACCTACTTGGGAGGCTGAGGTACGAGAATGGCTTGAGCCCGGGAAGCAGAGCTTGCAGTGAGCCGAGGTCGTGCCACTGCACTCCAGCCTGGGTGACAGAGCGAATCTCTGTCTCAAAAAAAAAAAAAAAAAAAAAAAAAAAAAGAATGGTTCAGCACCATCTCCTTGGTAGTAAGTGAGTTCTTACTCAGTTCATGTGAGAAAATCTTGGACCTTCTCCACCCTTGCTCCCTCTCTCACCGTGTGATACACCAGCTCCCCTTTTGCCCTCTGCCATGATTGTAAACTCCCTGTGGCCCTCAATGGAAGCATATACTGTTACAACGCCTCCTGTACTGCCTGCAGAACTATGAGCCAATTAGACCTCCTTTCTTTATAAATTACCCAGCCTCAGATATTCATTTGTAGCAACACAAAATGGTCTAACACAATGTTCACATTCATTTTCTGTTTGGTGCTGCTCTTTTTAAAAATTCTTCTTATTCCATATACACTGATATGAGCATTCTCTATGAAATTTTGTCACTTCTGTGCCATGCTTCTTTGTTGTTTTGAGTACACAGAGATCCATTCTGCATGCACTCATATACAGACCACAAATTTGGTGGAAACAATCCTGTTGATCAAACAGCAACGCCATCTTATCCTAAGTGTTGCATAAGAGTCTTCTTACCCTACCATGCACATAATTATTTTCAAACTAGTCTGTAACTTCACTGGCTTTTTCAGGCAAATGTGGCTTTAATTAACTAGAAGCTCCTGGAATGTCATCAACTGGAAGGAATGCCAATGTGGGCAAATTACGAATTTTTAAACTGAAGTTTTCATCATTGCCGTATCTTGCGGCCAATCCATTCATCTGAACTTCCCACTAATGCATTGGGCTGAATGGAAAAAACAAATTGTATTGGTAACACATTGAAATTCATTTTTAGAAGACTTGATTGCCCCAAATTCCAAATCTGTCATTATGGTTTGGGGATTCCATTGAAATCTATTTTCTTCTACATAAAGACAATAACAAGGCAATAGTTCCACCTAACATGATGCAACTAGCCTGTGATTGTGCTTTTCAGGATTTTATATGTTAGGGATCTTAGGCTTTAGTGATTTTGATCTTTTTGAGATTTCAACTTTTGAGATTATGGCATTAGGATTGTGTTTTGGGGGATTATGACCTAAACCCCTCCAGAACTAAGCCAATCAGAGTCTGCTCTGGCTAGCCTGGCTCATGGCATCTTCTGACCTAAAGGTGAACCAAGATTTTGTCATTTGTTAACTAGTTGATGATCTAAAAGGTGAGGTTACTTGGACAGGCCAGGATCTAGACAAACAAAAATATATGAGTGTTTTGTGTTCTGGGTAAGAGAGAGAAAAAAGGAATGAAAAGGAGATGGTGTGTTGTTTGTAACTGCATTTTACGTAAATGTAAGGACCTGCTTATCTGATGGGTTGATAGGGTTTGACTGTGTCCCCACCCAAATCTCATCTTGTTGTGTGTAACTGCATTTTATATAAATGTAAGGACCTGCTTATCTGATGGGTTGATGTGGTTTGTCTGTGTCCCCACCCAAATCTCATCTTGAACTGTAGCTCCCATAATCCCCACGTGTCATGGGAGGGACCCAGTGGGAGGTAATTGAATCATGAGTGCCATTTCCCCCATGCTATTCTCGTGATAGTGAGTAAGTACTCACGAGATCTGATGGTTTTATAGGGGGCTTCCCCCTTCCCTTGGTACTCATTTTTCTCCTTCCTGCTGCCATGTGAAGAAGGGCATGTGTGCTTCCCCTCTCGCCATGATTATAAGTTTCCTGAGGCCTCCCCAGCCATGCTGAACTGTGAGTCAATTAAACCTCTTTCCTTTATAAATTAGCCAGTCTCAGGTATGTCTTTATTAGCAGCATGAGAAAGGATTAATACACAAGTATAGAAAAAGCAAAGCTATAAAGACAGAGAACATATCAGAAGTTGCCTGGGGTTGGGGAGGTGAGAATAGATATTGACCACAGATAGACACAAGGGAAACCTGATGCAAGTGCTCTAAAACTAGATTGTGTGGAAGGTTGCACAACAGTATGAATTTACTAAAAGTCATCAACCGTTACATTTAAAGAGATGGATTTTAATAATTCCACTTACATTAGCATCAGAAAGAATAAAATAGTTAGGAATAAATTTAACCAAGGATGTACAAGACTTGTACCTGAAAACTACAAAACATTACTAAATGAAATGAAAGAACACCTAAATAAATGGAAAGACATGTATGTTCACGGATTAGAAGGCTTGATATTGTTAAGATGTCAATATTCAAATCTGAGACTCCATGCAGTCCTCATCAAAATGCCAATGATCTTTTTATGGACATCGAAAAACCAAAAACCAATGCTCAAATTCATATGGAAGTGTAAGGGGCCCCAAACAGCCAAAACAATGTCGAAAAAGAACACACAGGGCCAGGCACGGTGGCTCATGCCTGTAATCCCAGCACTTTGGGAGGCCAAGGTGGGGGGATCACGAGGTCAGGAGATCGAGGCCGTCCTGGCTAACATGGTGAAACCCCGTCTCTACTAAAAATACAAAAAATTAGCCAGGCACGGTGGAGGGCACCTGTAGTCCCAGCTACTCAAGAGGCTGAGGCAGGAGAATGGCGTGAACCCAGGAGGCGGAGCCTGCAGTGAGCCACGATCACGCCACTGCACTCCAGCCTGGGCGACAGACGGAGACTCTGTCTCAAAAAATAAAAAAGAACACGCAGTTGGAGGACTCATACTTGCTGATTTCAAAAGTCACTACAAAGATACAGTATTCAGAGCAGTGTGGTATTGGTAGAATAAAAGGCATGTATACCGGTGGAATAAATTTGAGACTCCAGAAAGAATTCCATAAATTGATGGCCAATTAATTTTTCACGAAGATGCCAGGACCATTCAATGGGGGAAAGAATCTTCCTCTCAAAAACTAGTACTGAGATAACTGGATATCCATAAGCCAAGGAATGGAGTTAAGATTCCTACTTCACACCATACACAAAAATTAACTCAAATGGATGAACAACCTAAATATAAGAGCTAAAAATATTAAATTTTTAGAATAAGACATAAGAGTAAATCTTCGTAATCTCAGGTTTATGCAATGGATCAGCAAAGATTTTTTTTTTTTTTTTGAGACAAGATCTCTCTTTGTTGCCCAGGCTGGAGCACAGTGGCATGATCACAGCTCTCTGCAGCCTCTACCACTCAGGCTCAGGCGATCCTCCTGCTTCAGCCTCCTGAGTAGCTGGAACCACAGGTGCATGCCCCCTCACTAGCTAATTTTTTTGTATTTTTTGTAGAGACAAGGTTTCACCATTCTGCCCAGGCTGGTCTTGAACGCCTGGGCTTAAATAATCTGCCCACCTCAGCCCCTGAAAGTGCTGGGATTACAGGCATGAGCCACTGCACTGGGCCAGCAGTGGATTTTTAGATATGGCGACATCTCTAGGAAAAACTAGATAAATTAGACTTCATCAAAATTTAAAACTTTAAAGGACATTATTGGAAACTTGAAAAGAAAACATAGAATAGAAGAAATTATTTGCTAATCATATATCTGGTGTCTAGGATCCAGACTATATAAAGAATTCTTACAACTCAACAACAAAAAACCACTCAATTAGAAAATTGGGCAAAGAACTTGACTAGACATTTTCCCAAAGATAAATAAGTGGCTAACAAGCATGTGAAAAGATGCTTAATAAAACTAGCCATTAAGGGAAATGTGAATCAAAACAGTGAGATACCACTTCACACCTACTAGATGGCTATAAAACAAAACAAAAACAGAAAATAACAAGTGCTGGTGAGGATGCATAGAAATTGGGACGCTTATACATTGTTGATGAAAATGCTAAGTGGTGCAGCTGCCGTGGAAAACAGTTTGGTGGTTCCTCAAAAAGCTAAACATAGTACTACTATATGCCCTAGCAATTTCACTTTTAGGTGTATATCCAAAAGAATTGAAAACAGGGACTCAAACAGATACTCATCTGCCAATATTCATTGCAGCATTATTCACAAGAGCCAAAAAGTATAAACAACTCAAATCAACAGATCTGTTGATCTGTCCATCAACAGATGAATGGATAAACAAAATGTGGTATATACATCCAAAGGAATATTATTCAGCCATGAAAAATGAAGTTCTGATACATGCTACAATACAGATGAACTTTTAAAACATTAGGGCAAGTGAAATAAGCCAGACACAGAAGGACAAATAGTGTATGATTCCACTTTATATGAAATATCCAGACTAGGCAAATGTGTAGAGATAGAAAATAGATGAGAGCTCACCAGCAGCTGGGAGAAGTGGAGAATAGAGAGTTTAAAGTTTAAAGGTTACAGTGTTTCTGTTTGGGGTGATAAAAAGTTTTGTAAATTGATGGTGTTGTTGGTTGCACAACATTGTGAACGTAATTAATGCTTCAGAACTATACGCTTAAACATGGATAAGATGAAAAATTTTATGTTATAGTATATACTCTGCCACACACACATATGAACACAAACAGATCACCCTAGTGAAGTTAGAAGATTCTGATTTCAATAAATAAAATAAAACCACATTCTGTGTACAAAGACTATCTCTATTTTTTATCACTCAAGCAAACCCAATCCTGTTCAGTAAGGAATTTTACATACAGTAGGCTCCCATATTGACTAATGCTTAAGAAAATGGGTGACAGGAAAAACAAATATCTATTCTGAGTGGGATAGCCCAAAACTCGAAGGATCTTATCAGTATTTTCCTGGTTGTGTTAATGAAGAGCAATCTCCCAAGCAATAAAATGTGTTTTGAGAGAGGCGATTCCTCTCTATTGAAACAGTTGCTGGTCTGGTACTCTGCCAAACCCCCAGAAATTATGAAGACGGAAGACATTGGAATTTTCCATGGATATGAAAGACGAAAATTATAAACAAAGGGCACTAATTAAAACATTTTTCCTACTCATTGAAGCAAAATATGCCTAAGAAACTGACAATAATATTAAAATGTCAGCCAACAAATGACAGAATTACCAAATCTCTGCTAGAGTTTATTTTTTACTCGCATGCCAACCCAACCTTTTTAAAGTCTGCATTGGCCACCTTGGCTGTAGAGGACTGTTCCTGTGCTGGTGATGGGATCCAGTGTCAGGCTCAAAGGCACAGATCTGAGGCTTGCCTTGTGTCTGCCACACTTGAAGTACCACTGACTTGAGGGTCATCTGCCCCACTGAGAGGAACCACTGATAGGAAGTGTCTTTTTTGTTTCTGTCACTTACAGTTTTCTGTGTTATAATAATCCCTATTACAAATTGCCAAGGGATTAGGGATTACCTCCAAAAAACTGGAGATTTATTTCATATTTGAAACATGTTTTTTCCATGTTTTGTCTATTCATTATTACTTTTGTAATTGGATTTATAGAAGCAGACTGGGGTGGGAAGAGATGAGTCACTGGTCATTTGGCACACCAATGCTTTACCTGGTTATACTCCTAGATTAACCTGGCATCCGAAAAGCAGATGCCAAGACAGAATTCGATGAGTGTTATAGGCTGAATTATGTTGCCAGAATGTTCATATGTTGAAGTCCTAATGCCCAGTACCTCAGGATGTGACTGTATTTACGAATGTGCATGGAGTTAGGATCTTTAAAGATGTAATTAAGTTAAAATGAGATCATTAGAGCAGACCCTAATCCAATAAGATTGATGTCTTTATAAGAAGAGGATATTATGGGGCTGGGCACGGTGGCTCAACCCGTAATCCCAGCACTTTGGGAGGCCGAGGCGGGCTGATCATGAGGTCAGGAGTTCGAGACCAGTCTAATCAACATGGTGAAACCCCATCTCTACTAAAAAAAAAAAAAAAAAAAAAAATACAAAAATTAGCCGGGCATGGAGGCACGCGCCTGTAATCCCAGCTACTCAGGAGGCTGAAGCAGGAGAATCGTTTGAACCTGGGAGGCAGGGGTTGCAATGAGCCAAGATCACACCATTGCACTCCAGCCTGGGTGACAGAGCAAGACTCCATCTCAAAAAAAAAAAAGACACAGACACACAGAAGGAAGATGGTGTGAAGACACAGGGAAAATGGCCATTTTATTAAATCTCTTTTGCATTGCTATTAAGGAATACCCGAGACTGGGTGACTTATAAAGAAAAGAGGTTTGTCCCTTTCCCATTTAGAAAAAAAAAGTGCAGCTGGCTGCCAGTGCTCATTTAATTTTTACATAAACATGCTCTTTGGGGCTGAAGCAAATCTGACTGATTTTCAATGTGAAAATAAAATTTAAACACTGTTCTTGTGGTTATTTCTAAACAGAACTAACATCTGAATCATCAGAATTGTCTATTTCAGAAAAATCATATTCATCAAGTGAATCTTCGGCCAAAAACTGTTCGGGAACGATGTTAACATCACATGTAGGAATGCTACGTTTTCTAGGATTTGACATTTTCAGCGACCGAGAATTACTATGTTTTGTAAATGAAAATACCACTACTAAAAACAGAATGCTATATAGAGAATGATGTCTTTTGTTTCCAAAGTTGATATACTAAGTGATGTGGAAATAATAAAAGCGAGATATTTCACGGTAAAGTTATCTCAGGGTAAACACTGCAGCCGCAAGTGTTGCCAGCAAGTATTCTCTGGGCAAATGGGAAAAAGGTGAATTGACTCACAGTTCTGCAGGCTGTACAAGCATGGCACCAGCATCTGCTTGGATTCTGGTGGGGCCTCAGGAAGCTTTCAATCAGGGCAGAAGATCGAAGGGAGCTCAGGCATGTCACATGGCCAGAATGGAAGCCAGAGAAATGGGGAGGTGCCAGTGTCTTTTAAACTACCAGATCTTGCATGAACTAACACTCATTACTGAGAGGAGGACACCAAGCCATTCACAAGGCAGCCACCCCCATGACCCAAACACCTCCCACTAGGTCCACCTCCAATGTTGGGGGTCGCATTTCAACATGAGATTTGGAGGGGACAAACATCCAAACCATCTACAAGTCAAGGAGAGAGATCGCCAAAGGAACCCACTCTGCCAACACGTTGATCGTGGACTTCTACCCAGTAATAAATTGGCTTAATTTTTGTTAAGCCACCCAGTCTGTGGTACTTTATCGGCAGCCAGAGCAGACTAATAAAACGAGCAAGAGTTTATGAGGGAAGTTCCTGTGAGGGAAAAAAGGGAGAGGAAATAAGAGAAAGTAGAGTCTCAGACTGCAATGAGGTGTGACATCTGTGGAGTGAGAAAAGACAGGAAGGTGGGGAAGAGCTGAGCTCAGGCTCAGCTCCAACTGTCTGGAGAATCCAAGTTCTTCAGCATCTGGCCTAGCACCCCTGCAAGCTCAGTCATTGGTTGGGAGCAGCTCAGGGGATGTGTTCCAGGCATGAACACTGCAACACACCCGAGGGCTGGGGGCTGTCAGTCACCTGCCCTCCCCACAACCTGTTCTCCTGAAGCGAGACCTGGGTAGCATACCTCCATGCTGCCTCGCTGGGTGACAGATTGCAGGCCTGTCCCTGCCCTTCCCCTTCCCAAATACCCTCCTCTTCCTTGCCTTCCCTTAGCACTTCCGTAGGAGCTCATGACAAATAGCAGAAAACCAGAGGTGAGTGGAGGTTATAGGCTAAACAATGGGAGAAATGCCAATCTATTGGAAAATGAGGCAGGGAAAATTCCAATTTACTCTAGTTTCAAAGAGTCTTTGGGAGGCTGAGGCAGGAGGATCACTTGAGCCCAGGAGCTCAAGACCAGCCTGAGCAACATAGTGAGATTCCAACTCCACCAAAAATACAAAAATTAGCCAGGCATGGTGATGTGCCTATAGTCCCAGCTACTCAGCAGGCTGGGGAAGGAGGATCGCTTGAGCCTAGAAGTTCAATGTTGCAGTGAGCTATGATTGCACCACTGCACTCCAGCCTGGATGACCGAGTAAGACCCTATCTCAAAAAAAAAAAAAAAAAAAAAAAAAAGTCAAAACCACAATTCAGTTCAGGCCAGGTGCAGTGGCTCATGCCTGTAATCCCAGAATTTTGGGAGGCCAAGGTGAGTGGATCACCTGAGGTCAGGAGTTTGAGACCAGCCTGACCAACAAAGTGAAACCCTGTCTCTACTAAAAACACAAAAATCAGCTGGGTGTGGTGGTGCATGCCTGTAATCCCAGCTACTCGGGAGGCTGAGGCAGGAGAATTGCTTGAACCCAGGAGGCAGAGGTTGCAGTGAGCTGAGATCATGCCACTGCACTCCAGCCTGGGTACAAGACTCTGTCTCAAAAAAAAAAAAAAATAGATCAGCTACGTCACAATCACTTGGGACACCTAATAAATATAGGCTGTCCTGTGGTGGGACTGGAGCTGAGAAAGTTGAATTTGTGCATGAGTGTGTGTGTGTACATGAATGTGTAAATGCACAGCCAGTCTGAAGATCACACTGCCCATAGTTTCTCACCATGACCCATATTTGCAACACAAATGGTTGAGGATTATAGTTTGTCACTGTGAGAAGGAACAAAAAATTAATTGGCTTCATGAGCTCCTCCTTGTATCAACTGAAGGCCCTGCATGCTCTTTGAGGGACAGCTGAAATTCGGAACAAAGAGGCTCCCTCAAAGAGTGGAAATGAAAGGAGTAATATATGGTTCTTCTCAATCACATTGCCATGTGGAGACTCGGTGCTCTAGGAATTTTTATTATTAGCAACAGAAGGATCCACATGCCCACCTCTGTCACTTCCCACCCACTCCACATACACTGCTTCTTTGTTGGCAGAATATTACTCTAAGTGTGTTTTTACCCTTAGAATACAGCTCTAATTTCTGTTATTTTTCAGTTTTCATAACAATTTTTGAGCATATTGCTCATTCCAGTTTGAATAAACAGAAATTTGGGCTTAGATGTTATTTCATGTCAATCAGAGCCTTAAAAGAAGCTTAGCTCGGCCAGGTGGGGTGGCTCACGTCTGTAAGCCCAGCACTTTGGGAGGCCGAGGTGGGCGGATCACTTAAGGTCAGGAGTTCGAGACCAGCCTGGCCAACGTGGTAAAACCCCGTCTCCACTAAAAATACAAAATCAGCCAGACTCGGTGCTGTGCGCCTGTAATCCCAGCTACTCAGGAGGCTGAAGCACAAGACTCGATTGAACCCAGGAGGCGGAGGTTGCAGTGAGCTCAGCCGAGATTGTGCCACTGCACCCCTGCCTGGGTGACAGAGCGAGATTCCGTCTCAAAAAAAAAAAAAAAAAAAAAAAAAAAGCTTAGCTCTTATGTTAATATCTTTTCTGTTTTATTTTTCTTTATGATATCATTGTGTTCTCTACTATAAATTTCAGTTAATGTATTCTTTTTTTTTTTTTTTTTTTTTTTTTTTTTTTTTTTTTTTTTTTGAGACGGAGTGTCTCACTGTATCGCCCAGGCTGGAGTGCAGTGGCGCGATCTCAGCTCACTGCAAACTCCGCCTCCCGGGTTCACGCCATTCTCCTGCCTCAGCCTCCTGAGTAGCTGGGACTACAGGCGCCCGCCACCGCGCCCAGCTAATTTTTTGTATTTTTAGTAGAGACGGGGTTTCACCGTGTTAGCCAGGATGGTCTCAATCTCCTGACCTTGTGATCCGCCCGCCTCAGCCTCCCAAAGTGCTGGGATTACAGGCGTGAGCCACTGCGCCCGGCCAATGTATTCTTGAGATTATTAGAGAAGTGCAGATACACTACGTGTGCTCTCACACCACAAAAATCAACACTGAAGATGTCTGTGACCAAATGTGTGGGGATTTTTTCCCCACTAACAGGAAGCAATCAGTTCTGCCGCAGACACTAGCTGGGTGTTCTCCAATTCAATTCTGACGCTATCCACCTGGAGATAGTGTCAGATCCCACAGACTGAGGGCTCAGTCCCACAAGATCGCCTTTCCTTTAGACGCCAGTTGCAAGCCCAAGCCTGTTGAACTTCTGACCAATCCACTTCAAGTTGGGTGACCACCACTTTATGCGCGATTAATTTGCTAAAAGTGGCTCACAAAACTCAGGGAAACACTTAGGTTTACTGATTTATTTTAAAGGCTATTTTAAAAGATACAAATAAATAGCCAGATGAAGAGATACATAGGGTGAGGTCTGAAAGGGTCCTGACTGCAGGAGCCTCAGTTCCCGTGGAGAGGGATGCGCCACCCTCCCGGCAGGCGGATGAATTCTTGTTCATTTTCTTGCAAGCCTCCAGAACTTCAGCTGTGCAAAAGTTTCCCATACCTTATCCTCTTGGGCCTTTTATGGAGATTTTATTGGATAGGTATGATTGACAACCAAGGAGAACTGTGATTGGACAAAAAGAGTATGATCTAATGCTTATAGATTGAGTGGGGAAACCCGGTAAGGCCGAGATTCTTCCTGGCCTGTCTATGCAGCGTTCCTTCTTCCCGAGTATGGGACAGGACCCCTTCGGACTGGGGGTCTTACAACCTAAAATCAGACAAGGAAGGCAGTTCAGAGAATTTCAAGTCAGAAGATTAGAATATATTTTTAGTTTCTGTAGCCTGCATGGAGGAGAAAAAGAAGATAAAAGGGGGGCAGGAGGTCAGAGAGTGAGATTCTGTTTTCTAAGGCCTAAAATGCCCCAATATTATAACAAAAGATTGTCTCACCTTTATTGCTCTGGAGCCATTCGGAAGCTGCTTCAGGAATCAAGGACAAAAGATATGTTAAGGAACAATATGTTAAGGAACAATATGTTAAGGAAAGATATGCTTACTATTTTAGTCACTTAGGAAATTAACAAGGGCTATGGGAGTTATGAGCCAGGAATTGTGGACAAAAACCAACATACATATAATATCATACCACCCCAGTAATAATTTTCTCCCCTTTCCACTAGTTAAGTTATATTAACTAAAATATTATTAAGTAAAGTAGAAACAACCTCAATGTCCATCAACAGATTAGTGAATAAACAAAATGTGACATATTCATAAAATAGAATGTTATTTGGCATAAAAAGGAATGAAGCACTGGCCCGGTGCAGTGGCTCACACCTGTAATCTCAGCACTTTGGGAGGCCGAGGCAGGTGGATCACCTGAAGTCAGGAGTTCAAGACCAGCCTGACCAACACAGTGAAACCCTGCCTCTACTAAAAATACAAAAATTATCCAGGCCTGGTGGCACGTGCCTGTAATCCCAGCTACTCAGGAGGCTGAGGCACAAGAATCTCTTGAACCCAGGAAGTGAAGGCTGCAGTGAGCCAAGATCGCACCACTGCACTCCAGCCTGAGTGACACAGTGAGACTGTTTTGTGTTTGTTTTATGAAACAAACAAAAGAATAAAGTACTGACACAGGCTAAAACATGAATGAGCCTTGAAAATATTGTTGTGCTAAGTGAAAGAAGCCAGACACAGAAGGCCACCTACCGTGTGATTCTGTTTATACAAAATGTCCAGAACAGGCAAATCCATAGAGACACAAAGTAGTTTAGCACAGTGGTCCCCAACCTTTTTGGCACCAGGGACCGGTTTTGTGGAAGACAATTTTTCCATGGACCCGTTGGGAGGTAGCGGGGAGCGGTGAGGGGATGGTTTCAGGATGAAACTGTTTTACTTTAGATCATCAGGCATCAGATTTTCATAAGGAGCACGCAACCTAGATGCCTGCATGCACAGTTCACAATAGGGTTCCGGCTCCTATGAGAATCTAATGCCTCCACTGATCTGACAGGAGGCGGAGCTCAGGCGGTAATGCTCGCTGACCCACCACTCACCTCCTGCTGTGTGGCCCAGTTCCTAACAGGCCACCAACTGGTACTGGTCCACGGCCCCAGGGTTGGGGACCCCTGGTTTAGCAGTGGTTCCCAAGGGCTGGGTGGGGGAGGGGAATGGGGAGTGACTGATAATGGGAGTGGAATTTCTTTTTGGTTTTTTTTTTTTGAGACAGAGTCTCACTCTGTTGCCCAGGCTGGAGTGCAGTGGTGTGATCTTGTCTCACTGCAGTCTCGAACTCCCAGGCTCAAGTGATCCTCCCACTTCAGCTTCTGATATGGTTTGGCTGTGTCCCCACCCAAATCTCAGCTTGAATTGTATCTCCCAGAATTCCCACGTGTTGTGGGAGGGACCCAGGGAGAGGTAATTGAATCATGGGGGCCAGTCTTTCCTGTGCTATTCTCATGATAGTGAATAAGTCTCATGAGATCTGATGGGTTTATCAGGAGTTTCTGCTTTTGCTTCTTCCTCATTTTCTCTTGCCACCGCCATGTGAGAAGTGCCTTCGCCCCCTGCCATGATTCTGAGACCTCCCAAGCCATGTGAAACTGTAAGTCCAATTAAACTTCTTTTTCTTCCCAGTCTCAGGTATGTTTTTATCAGCAGCATGAAAAGAGACTATTACAGCCTCCCAAGAGGCTGGGACTACAGAAGCCCACTACCACACCAGGCTATTTTTTTGGTATTTTTTTGTAGAGTCAGGATTTCATGATATTGCCCAGGCTGGTCTTGAATTCCTGGGTTCAAGCGATCCTCCTGCCTCAGCATCCCAAAGGGCTGAGATTATAGGCATGAGCCACTAGGCCTGGTGTGGATGGGATTTCTTTTTGTGGTGATGAAAATGTTTTGGAATTAGATAGTGTTGATAGTTGCATAAACACCAAATTTAAAAGGGTGAATTTTATGTTACATGAAGTATATCTCAAAAAGAAAATTAGAAATACATAAAATAATGGAGGCAAACATGCCACAGTCTTTAAAAGATTTGCATCATCTGCAAACACACACACATGCAAACACACACACACACACACACACACATCCCACAAATGTCTGTATCTCTCACAACAGCCATCTTTATTTAAACTTGCTCAATTTCATTTGGATAGGACTGAAAGAATTATATAATTAAAATTGGATGACTTTGTTAAAAACAAGCTAACTTTACTAATAAAATGGAAGATGTATAGGCCAATCTATAGAGACAGAAGGTAGATTAGTGGTTGCCTGGGGCTGGGGCTTGGACCAAGGACTGAGTGTAAATGGGCATGAAGTTTCTTTTTGACAAGATGGAAATGTTCTAAAGTTGGATTATGGTGACAGTTGTACAACTCTGTACATTTACTAAAAATTACTGAATTGTACACAATATTACTGTATGCAAATTATACTTCAATATGTAAATTATACTGTTAAAACAAAATGCAAAGTAAATTAATAAAGGTCTACAGGCCGCACGTGGTGGCTCATGCCTGTAATCCCAGCACTTTAGGAGGCCAAGGGGTGGGGGGGGGGGTGCGGATCACCTGAGGTCGGGAGTTCAAGACCAGCCTGACCAACATGGAGAAACCCCGTCTCTACTAAAAATACAAAATTAGCTGGGCATGGTGGCACATGCCTGTAATCCCAGCTACTTGGGAAGCTGAGTAGGAGAATTGCTTGAACCTGGGAGGTTGAGGTTGCGGTGAGCCGAGATTGTGCCACTGCACTCCAGCCTGGGCAACATGAGCAAAACTCCGTCTCAAAAAATAAAAATAAAAAAATAAAAAACATAAAGGCCTATGAGTTAGTCCTGGAAACAAAAGCATTGCACATACACAGGAGAAACACTGAAAGGAACTATACCAAAATTTTCCTGATGCTGTTTTTGCATGGTGGAAAATATGTTTATTTGTTATTTTCTTCTTTTTTTTTTGGTTTTTCTAAGTTATCTATAGTGAGCAAATATTTATAAGGTATGTTATCATTAAAATGTCTTTATATTTCATGTATTTAGGCAAAAACTAAAACCTACATGTTTTTATTTAAATAGTGAACAAAAATGATTGTTATTTAACTCTAGAGCAATCTGTATACCTGATTTCTTTTGGGAGATGTTATTAGCTGAAGGACTGTCAAAATGGAGTTAAACTCACTCAATTACATGCAAACATAGCAAACTTACACTCTGGCTATAACAGAGTACCTTGGATCCCTAATACCATCACAATAGGAATAAATATCAAAGCTGTATAAAAATGCAAAACAATAATATCAACATGCAAAACAACAAAAACAGCTTCTTTAAGGCATCGGAAATCAACAAAATCAGCCAGGACTTAAGGAGCCAAGATCCTGGATAGGTGACACCAACATAAATTATTACTTTGCCCACTTAAAGCATGTGCTAATTCCTAAACTGCAAAGTAGGGCAAGAGACTGAAAAAGCAAGCAGAAAGCAGCTGCTGAAAGACTATAAAGGTAAACAAAGGTTTTGGCAGTCTCATAATACTGGGAGAAAAACTGGAGCTCAAGGCCTGCCAAAGATGAGAAGCCGTGATAAATACTGTAGCTTTCCATTGAGAATCTTAAAGGACTAAGCCCTAGAGCAAGGTTTCTTAATCTTGGTACTATTAACATTTTGGACTAGATAATTCTTTTTTATTGGGGGGCTCTCCTACATATTGTAGGATGTTTAACAGCATATCTGGCCTCTACCACTTCCAACTTGTGTCAGACATCAGAAGCACACAGCCCCAGTTTGTGGCAATCAAAAATGTCCCCAGATATTGCCAAATGTTCCCTGGAGATTAAAATCACCCTCGGTTTAGAACTATTGTGCTAAGACTAAGGGACTCCAGAAATAAGCCCTCTCAAAGCTTGAAATTTAGCTTTTACTCATCTCAATCTCTGATTTGACGAACTTGCTTGGCTCTTACTAACTGCATGCTAAAAAAAAAAAAATGAAATTAATCTTCTCTGAAGGAAGATAATATCATCTAGATCTCTTATAACTTTTCCACAGTGTCTGGAATTCAATCAGTATTTAGTAGATATGTTAGAAAGGAGTAATAAATGACCAAAAACTGAGAGAAAAAATAGACAATAGAGACTCACAGGTGACCAGATATTGGAGTTACCAGAACAAAACTTTAAAGTAACCATGATTAGTGTGTTCGAGAAATCAGTTAGAAAATGGAGAATTTCATCAGAAGAATGGGATTTATATAAAAAAGAATCAAGTGGAAATTATAAAACTAAAAAAAAAAAAAAGTTAAATTAAGCAGATAAGCACAGTCCCAAAAGAGAAGAATTGAGCCAGGTGTGGTGGCTCACACCTGTAATCCCAGCACTTTCGGAGGCTGAGGCAGGCAGGTCACTTGATCCCAGGAGTTCAAGACCAGCCTGGGCAACATGGCAAAACCCCGTCTCAACAACAACAACAACAACAACAATTTAGCTGATTGTGGTGGCATGTGCCTGTAGTCCCAGCTACTTAGGAAGCTGAGGTAGGAGGATTGTTTGAACCTAGAGATCGAGGCTGCAGTGAACCATGAACATGCTACTTCATCCCAGCCTGGGCAACAGAGTGAGACTCTGTCTCAAAAAAATAAAAGAAAGAGGCCAGGCGTGGTGGCTCACGCCTGTAATCTCAGCACTTTGGGAGGCCGAGGCGGGCGGATCACGAGGTCAGGAGATCGAGACCATCTTGGCTAACATGGTGAAACCCCGTCTCTACTAAAAATACAAAAAAAAAAAAATTAGCCGGGCATGGTGGCGGGCGCCTGTAGTCCCAGCTACTCGGGAGGCTGAGGCAGGAGAATGGCGTGAACCTGGGAGGCGGAGCTTAGAGCGAGCCGAGACCGTGCCAGGCAACAGAGCAAGACTCCATCTCCAAAATAAATGAATAAATAATGAGAGGAATCATGAACCAGAAGATACATCAGCATAAAATATTCAAATTTAAGCATAACAAGAAAAAGTATGAATGGAAAACACAGAAAAGAGCATAAGAGATACATGAAATTTGTAGACTAATGTGTATTTAATCAGAGGTCCAAAAGGAGAAGAAAAAGAGATTAGCCACAAACCATATTTAAAGTAATAATAACTGAGAATTTAAATAAACTGATTAAAGGCATCAAAAAGCTCCATACACCCCACACTCTGAACTCCTATATGTCAGAAATTATATAAAATGTAAATCGACTAAATACTTCAATTAAAGAACAAAGATTGGCTGGGCGTGGTGGCTCATGCCTGTAATCCCAGCACTTTGGGAGGCCAAGGGGGCGGATCACGAGGTTAGGAGTTCAAGAACAGCCTGACCACCGTGGCAAAACCCCGTCTCTACTAAAAATACAAAAATTAGCCAGGCATGGTGGTGCACATCTGTAATCCCAGCTACTCAGGAGGCTGAGGCACAAGAATCAATTGAACCCGGTAGGCGGAGGTTGCAGTCAGCTGAGATCGGACCACTGCACTCCACTCTGGGCGACAGAGTGAGACTCCATCTCAAAATAATAATAATAATAATAATAAAATAAAGAACAAAGATTTCAGGTCGGGCACAGTGGCTCACGCTTGTAATCCCAGCATTTTGGGAGGCCGAGGCTGGTGGATCACTTGAGGTCAGGAGTTTTAGACCAGCTTGGCCAACATGGTGAAACTCCATCTCTACTAAAAATACAAAGAATTAGCTGGGCGTCATGGTGCACCCCTGTAATCCTAGCTACTTGGGAGGCTGAAGCACGAGAATTGCTTGAACCTGGGAGGTGGAGGTTGCAGTGAGTCGAGATAGCACCACTGCACTCCAGCCTGGATGACAGAGTGAGACTCCATCAAAAAAAAAAAAAAAAAAAAAAAAGGAACAAAGATTGAAGTCTGGAATAAAAGAAAACAACAAGTATATGCTGCTCAAAAAAAGATGGATTTTAATTATAAAGACATAGAAAGACTGAAATAAAGTGATGAAAAAAAGATATGTATACATTAACCAAAATACACTAACCCAAGTAAATCTAGGGTAGTTCTACTAATATCAGATAAAGCAGACTTTACAGGAAGATTTATTTGTCAAGCTCTAGAGGGGCATTACATGCATCAAAGGACAGCCAACAGAGTGAAAAGACAAACTACAGAATGGGAGAAAACATTTGCAAATCATATATCTAATAAGGAGTTAATAACCAGAATATATAAAGAACTCCCACAACTCAACAATTTTTTAAAATGCCAGTTAAAAAATGGGCAAAGGACTTGAATAGACATTTTTCCAAAGATGATATACAAATAGCCAACAAGCATATGAAAAGAGGCTTAACATAATAAATCATTAGAGAAATGCAAATCAAACCACATTGAGATATAACCTCACACCATTAGGGTGGCTACTTTAAATTTATTTTTAATTTAAAAAAATTTTTTAATAGAGACAGAGGTCTCACTATGTTGCCCAGGTGGGTCTTGAGCTCTTGGGCTCCAGCAATCCTCCTGCCTCAGCCTCCCAAAGTGCTGGGATTACAGGAGTGAGCACCACAGCCTGCCAGGATGGCTACTTTTTTAAGAAAGCCGAACAAATAGAAAATAACAAATGTTGGCCAGGCACAGTGGCTCACGCCTGTGATGCCAGCACTTTGGGAGGCCGAGGCAGACGATCGCGAGGTCAGGAAATCAAGACCATCCTGGCTAACATGGTGAAACCCCGTCTCTACTAAAAATACAAACAAATTAGCCAGGCATGGTGGCGGGCGCCTATAGTCCCTGCTACTCAGGAGGCTGAGGCAGGAGAATGGCATGAACCCGGGAGGCGGAGCTTGCAGCGAGCGGAGATCACGCTACTGCACTCCAGCCTGGGCGACAGAGCGAGACTCCGTCTCAAAAGAAAAAAAAAGAAAATAACAAATGTTGGCAAGCATGAAGAGCAATTGGAACACTTGTGCACTGTTGATGGGATTGTAAAATGGTGCAGTGACTATGAAAAACAATTGGTGGCTCCTCCAAAAGTTAAAAATGTAATTCCCGCAAGATTCAGCGATTCCATTTCTGGGTATATTCCAAAAGAATTAAAGCAGAATCTCAAAGATGAGTAAATAAACAAAATGTGGTACATACTTCAATGAAATGTTATTCAGCCTTAAAACGGAAGGAGATCCTGTCACATGCTACAACATAGATAAATCTTGAGGACACCATCCCCTTAGCGTCCCTACAACCTAACAGAGATACTTGATCAGTGTTTGATGTTGATGGAAAGAGGATGAGCAAGAGGAGGAAGGAAAGGAGGCAGGCAGAAAGGGAGGAAGAAAGAGGCACACATAACTTGATTGGGACCAGATTATGAAATTTGCACCTGAAATGCAGGGCATGGTGTGGGGGATGAATAGGAAGCAGGAATCGCTCCCTGCTGCAATAAGAATTAAAGCCAAACTCTCTACAATAAAGGATGGCTCTGCACTGGCTCCTGCCCTCTTCTCTGGCGTCACTTTCTCCCACTGTCCTGCACCCACACTGGCTTTCTGCCCCTCTGTATTTCTTCACCTTCTCAGAGAGGCTTTTCCTAACCTCGAATTTTAAAGTAAGTCATTTGGTCTCAATAGTCTGTTTTACAGTCTCCTTAGCATTCTTCACTCTCTGAAATTCTTTTTTTTTTTTTTTTCTTTCTGAGACAGGATCTCACTCTGTCACCCAGGCTGGAGTGCAGTGGTACGATCATGGCTCACTGCAGCCTTGACCTGTCGGGTTCAACGTGATCCTCCCACCTCAGCCTCTCAAGTAGCCAGATAGCTGGAACCACAGACGCATGCCACCATGCCTAGATAATTTGTTTGTTTTGTTTGCTTGTTTGTTTGTTTTAAATAGAAACAGGGTTTCAACATTTTGCCCAGGCTGGTCTCCAACTCCTGAGCTCAAAGCGATCCTCCTGGCCCCAACCCTAAAGTGCTGGGTTTACAGGCATGAGCCACCATGCCCAGCCTGAAATTATTTCTATTTGTGTGTGTTTACTGTAAGTTTCTCCTATAGAATGAAGGTTCCAAGAGAACTGAGCTTTGCCTTGCCTCACCACTACTTCCCCAGCATCCAGAACAGGATCTACAATGCTTGATGCACAGAAGAGGCTGGATAACTATTTGCTGTGAGGGATGTGCTCTTCCATACTCCACTTTAAAGATGAGAAAACAAGGCTCACAAAGGAAAAGTAACTTAGCTGAATCCATATAGCTTGGTGGAGCTGAGATTCCATCCCAGATCTATTTAGTTCCAGAGCCTGAACTTCTTAACCACATCACTAAAACTGTACTGCACCAGTTAATGTTGACAAATAAGTTGGCATGTGTGTGATGGAGGAAGGCTCCTGGGTACAGCTGTATCATTAGGGTCTCCCTTTGGTAACGCACCGGAGGAGACCTCTAACTTCAATGGTGCGAGTGGATCTCCATGGAAACAGGTAGACTGAGTCACATAGGTTTATTTAAAATGGTGCTTCTCAAACTTGAACTAGCTTCAGAATCACTGGAGAATTTGTCAGAAATACAGATTGTGAGGCTGGGCTCAGTGGCTCACGCCTGTACTCCCAGCATTTTGGGAGGCCAAGGCAGGTGGATCACTTGAGGTCAGGAGTTCGAGACCAGCCTGGCCAACATGATGAAACCCCCCTCTCTACTAAAAATACAAAAATTAGCTGGGCATGGTGGCGCACACCTGTAATCCCAGCTACTTGGGAGGCTGAGGCAGAAGAATTGCTTGAACCTGTGAGGCGGAGGTTGCAGTGAGCCAAGACTGCACCATAGCTCTCCAGCTTGGGTGACAGAGCAAGATGCTGTCTCAAAAACAAAACAAAACAACAACAACAACAAAAACAAAAACACAGATTGTGGTTGTTCTTCCCTACCCCAGCCCCAACCACCTTGAGACCTCCCTCCCAGTTTTGGATACAGTAGGCCTAGGTTGGGATTCAAGAATTTGCATTTCTAACCCCAAATCACACTTGAGGGAAAATAAAATACTTAATTAGAATGGATGAGTGGATAACTTTTTAAAAGTGGCTTAATTGGGGATTGATAGTTAAGTGTTAAAGCAAGTGTGTTAAATGTAAATAGTAGAATCAAAAGGACAGGAGTGTGGAGATTCACTGTAAAATCTTCCAACTTGCCTATGTTTGAAATTTTTTACAAGAAAATGCGGCAGGAACAGCAGGAGGGGGATGGGGGGACTTAATAAAAGATTAAGAACCATAATGGAATATAGGCAGCAAATTAGCAGGGACTGTGTTACTACAGAATTAAAGCAACCTGCAAAGTAATGTTAAAATTAATTACATGTATAGACTAATAAGCTGTTTACACGTCACCATCATCTAAAGACTTAATTGAGTGCTTATCTAACATGACCTTTGCTTCAGTTTGTGACAGGAAATGATTAAACAGTGTGCCAACAGAAAAACATCAATCAATTGCTGTTAGTACAGGTTAAATCCTGTGCAGTGAAGACAGAGCAGAGCTTGTATTGCAAAATGTGCTCACTTTTTTTTCCAAGCCCGGGATGAGCACTCACAGAAAAAATACTTTGATAACAATCAGAAATTATTCAATAATCTTATACTGCAAATGCTTTCTATAGCCGTTCATTCATTCATTCAATTAATTGGACAACTATTTATTAAAAGTCTACTATGTGCCAGCACTGCAGGAGACTGAAGATTCTTTTTTCTTTTTCTTTTCTTTTTTTTTTTTTTTGAGACAGAGTGTCACTTTGTCACCCAGGCTGGAGTGCAATGGTACGATCTCGGCTCACTGCAACCTCCGCCTTCCAGTGACCAGTTCAAGCGATGGTCCTGCCTCAGCCTCCCAAATAGCTGGGATTACAGGCGCCTGCCACCGCATCCAGCTAATTTTTGTATTTTTAGTAGAGATGGGGTTTCACCATGTTGACCAGGCTGGTCTTGAACTCCTGACCTGAGATGATCCATCCGCCTCGGTCTCCCATAGTGCTGGGATTATAGGCTTGAGCCACCTTGCCTGGCCAAGATTTTTTTTTAATCGATGAGTAATGTAAAAGAACACCAGCCCTCATGGAGCTTACATTCCACTGAAGAGACAAAGATCAAATAAATAAAATACAAGCCACCTGGTGTAAATGCAATGGAGAAAAATGAAGATGGGAAACAGGGTAGGGAGTGCTGGATGGGAAATGGGACTGGGTTGTAGTTCTAAATAGGATGTTTAGGAAAGGGTGTTTCCAGAAGGTAACTTTTGAGTAAGACCTGAGGAAGGTAGAGGAGTGAGTCATGTAGAAATCTGAGAGAGGAACCCTTCAGGGAGAGAAATCAGCCTGTGTAAAGGCCAGAAAGTGAGAATACACCCAGGGAATCCAGCAAACAGCAAAGAAGCCGCAGAAGTTGGAGGGGATGGAGCAAGGGGACAGTGGTAGGAGCCAAGAACGGAGAAGTAGAGGTGACAGTTGGGGGGAAACTATGTCATCCTTTGAAGCCCTTGTATAAGTCACTGTGACCGCTGGAGGATTAGTGACATGATTTGCCTGACATCAAATATTTGTTATTACCAGTGCCGTGAAGATGCTGAATGAATATGGTGCTAACTCTGCCTGCAGGGAGCTGACCTGTTCCTAAGAGATATATTCACAAACACTTAGAACACAGTGATGAATTGCAAAATATAAACCCAGTGAAGGGGAGCTGTTTACCTCTGAGGTGATCAGGGAAGGCTTCCCAGGACATGTGGACGGACGCAGAGGAGTGGATGAGATTTTGGCTGGAAAAAAAAAATCATGGAGATGAGAGTGCAGAAGGGTACAGGGACTATAGAAGCTAGAGCTTGTAAGAGGTGGTGGAAGGTAAGACTCAGAGGCTGGGTCATTGAGGCCACCTCCAAGAAGCCCTTGAATGTTGTAAGGAGTTTGGACCTTACAGGAATGGGAAACCACCAGAATCTTTGAACATAGAAATTCATCATTAACTATAAGGTTAATCTGGGCAGTGAGGTTTCATTTAGGTTTTTCTTTTCCTCTTTGTTCTTTTTTTTTTCAATTTTTAAAATAATTTTTAAATTTTAAATGGTGATAAAAATAACATGCAATTTACAATGTCAATCATTTTTAATTAAGTTTCAGTAGCTTCTGTGGTGTTAAGTATTATTACATTGTGGTACAACAGGTCTCCAGAACTTTTTCATCTTGCAGAAATGAAACTGTGCCCATTGAACAGAAATTGCCCATTTTCTCCTCCCCCAAGTCCCTGGCAACCATCATTCTACTTTCTGTCTCTATGTATTTGAATGCTCTAGGTACCTCCTATAAGTGGATCCATACAATATTTGTCATTTGTGACTAGCTTATTTCACTGAGAATAATGTCCTCAAGGTTTATTTATTTATTTATTTATTTATTTACTTTTTGAAACCGAGTCTCACTCTGTTGCCCAGGCTGGAGTTCAGTGGCGCGATCTCGGCTCACTGCAACCTCTGTCTCCCAGGTTCAAGTGATTCTGCCTCCTCAGCCTCCTGAGTAGCTGGGATTACAGATGTGTAGCACCATGCCTGACTAATTTTTATATTTTTAGTAGAGACGGGGTTTCACCATGTTGACCAGGCTGGTCTTGAGCTCCTGACCTCAGGTGATCCACCTGCCTCGGCCTCCCAAAGTGCTGGGATTATAGGCGTGAGCCACTGCACCTGGCCTTGATGTCCTTCCTTTTTAAGGCTGAATAATATTCCACTGGATGTATAGACCACATTTTGTTTATCCGTCCATCCACAAATGCATACTTGAATTGCTTCCATCTTCTGGCTATTGTGAATAATGCTGCGATGAACATGGGTATGCAAATGCTTCTTTGAGATCTTGCTTCCCATTCTTTTGGATGCCCAGAAGTGGAATTGCTAGATCATATGGTAATTCTGGTTTTAATTTTTTGAGAAGCCACTATACTATTTCCATAGCAGCTGCACCAGTTTACATTCACAGCAACAGTGCACAGAGTTCCAATTTCTCCACATGCTTACTGACTCTTGTTATTTTCTGTGTTTTTGATAGTAGACACCTACAGTGGGTGTGAGATTTCCTTTGTTGGTGGTGGCTTTTTGTTTTGTTTTGTTTTTTGAGTTAGGGTCTTGCTTTGTCACCCAGACTGGAGGGCTGTGTTGTGATCACAGCTCACTGCACCCTCGAACTCCTGGGCTCAGGCCATCCTCCCACCTCATGCTCCCAAAGTGCTAGGAACATAGATGTGAGCCACCATGGCTGGCCTCTGTTGTTTTTAATTGAAGTAGTTAGTACCCTCCAATTCCCTTCACCCCTTCTCATTGTCACCATCCTGATCTCCACACCAAGCGGACTTGCACTAACCGCTCCTATTTCTAGTTTTCTAGAATCAGCCATAACACATAGGCGTCCAAGCTGGAGAAACTTGGATTATCTGAGGCCCTTCCTTCCCAACATGTCACTGCACTTTCTTTTACTTAACATTTCATAGCATAAAGTTTGCTTCTTTGCTAGGTTCTGTGAACATAATGTGTATTTTAACCAGATTTAACAGAAAAAATTTCAAAATCCAGGAGAGAAAGGCATTTTATTTGCAGTTCCCTTAAAAGTGAAAGTGGAGCTCAGTGCCCTCTGGGCAGGATGATTGCAGCCTGAACAACAGGTTGTTTTTGGCCTCTAACGATCCAGACTTAAAGTGCATCCCATTTTTATTGTTTGACTGTTAAGATGTGTGACTCTAGTTGATTAGATAAGGAATTCTAAGCAAGGCAGTGCAAGGGTGGAGGAGGAAGATGATAACATTAAAGGCTTTTCTCTTTCAGTTCCTCATCTCAGAAGGTCTCCATCATCCTCTGAATTTCCGTCATAAAGATCCACTTAAAAACCATGTCCTTGGCAAGTGTTGATTCTTGTTTTAAAGTTTTCTGTTTTGAGTAAAAAGTCTTTAATTTTTTTCATCTGCCTTAAAAAAAACTGCGGTAAAAGTGCCCTGGGCCAAATTCTGCCCTTAGTTACTATTTCTAGAATCTTCTGATCCGTAGTCAGACGCGTTATCCATTGCGCCACTGGCCCTCGGTTCTTAGTTACTATTTCTATGGCATTTGTATTGTACACATAAGCAAAGTCTGAGGTTGATTCTGGCACGAACTTTTAACAATAACAACTTCCATCTGTATGTCATTTGATATTGTGAAAGTGATTACCTGTACAGTTGCTCATTTGATCCACACATACACAAAAACTGTGCAATACATAAGCCAGAAATATTTTACAGGTGAAGTAACTGAAACTCAAGGGAGGTTAAGTGGCTGACGGAGGGCCACACAAGCACAAGTGGGTCTCAAGCCCAGATTTCCTGATTCTTAAACCTATGCCAAGGAGGGTGTGGTTTTGGCGATTATGAAATTACCAATACATACACAAAGATTATTATATTCTTCTCATAACACATGTGGTGCTTCCAAGATATATGAAAAGTGGGAAAGAAAACATAATTAAGTGACATAAACCAAATTTGTGAAATACAGGACACGGGTAAGTACTTTGCAAGAACTATTGGGAAGGAATACAATAAATTGCAAACTACTAGAGGGCAGTGGCTGAGGTTAATTTGTCTTTGTATTTTAGATCATCCTCAAGTGCACATCTTGCACTTAGTTGAGTACTGACTGAATGAAGGAATCAGTGAACACAGCTACCTGGAGTCCTAGAGGAACAGGCTTTGATGTGGCTGGGAGAACTTTCAAGTTCTCCCAAGAATAAAAGCCCCAACTGGTTAACCGGAGCCTGATTGTGCACAGCCAGAGAGCAGGAAGAGAGGAAGAAAGGGATAAAGAGATGGCCTTGGCTGGGCTTGGTGGCTCACGCCTGTAATCCCAGTACTTCGGGAGGCTGAGGCGGGCAGATCACGAGGTCAGGAGATCAAGACCATCTTGGCTAACACGGTGAAACCCCGTCTCCACTAAAAATACAAAAAATTAGCCGGGCATGGTGGCGGGCGCCTGTAGTCCCAGCTGCTCGGGAGGCTGAGGCAGGAGAATGGCGTGAACCCGGGAGGCGGAGCTTGCAGTGAGCCAAGATCGTGCCACTGCACTCCAGCCTGGGCAACAGAGCGAGACTCCATCTCAAAAAAAAAGAGATGGCCTTGATTTGCAGTGACTCTCATTTCATCTCCCATGAGAATCATTTGGTTGATAACATATGCAACATGGGGCAGAAAACTTGTGCCGAGAACTTCCAATATTTCTAATCTATTATCATTTTTGATGCACACAGTGATGTTAATGACCTGCCAATTGATCTGAATAGCTTGTGGTCATCTGAGGTGGTGCCTGGCCCATAGCAGATGCTCAGGAAATGTTATTGACAGAACGAATGAATGTGAGGAGTTAACAAGGAGCAGACAATAATTTTCTAGGCAAGGAGGTGGCTGGCCCTGCAGAAGGAGCTGTCTTATATACTCTTTTCCCTAACTGTCATTGAAAAGTGGGACCTTTGGTGTGGAGGAATGGCACTCCTTCACTCTCCGCTTCGGACTTAGGAAAAAAATCACAGATTACAAGACAAGCCCCCTGGCAAGAGTTCTATAGGGGATTGTTTGCTGATCTCATCACAAGTAACAGCCACTGGCAATTCTGGAGTTCACTTTTCCAAATATTTACAGAGGTTTATGATGATCCATATCACAACTCAGTTTCTGATTAGGTAAGCCGTAAACTTCTAAATGAATTCATAATTTAAATGGTTAAGGAAAACTTTTAAAGGTCTTAGGTAGGCCGGGCGTGGTGGCTCATGCCTGTAATCCCAGCACTTGGGGAGGCCAGGGCGGGCAGATCACTTGAGGCCAGGAGTTTGAGACCAGCCTGGCCAACATGGCAAAACCCTGTCTCTACTAAAACTGCAAAAATTAGCCATGCATGGTGGCGTGTGCCTGTCGTGCCAGCTATTCGGGTGGCTGAGGCAGGAGAGTCACTTGAGCCTGGGAGGCAGAGGTTGCAGTGAGCCGAGATCTCATGACTGCATTCCAGCCTGGGTGACAGAGCAAGACTCCGTCTCAACAACAACGACAAAAAAAAAAAAAGAAAGAAAGAAAGAAAAAAAAAGAAAAGAAGAAGAAGAAGAAAAGTCAGGTAAAATAAGAATAGAATATATTTTAAATTCTTTCATATAATGAAACATCACACCTAAATTTATTGGTTTCCTAAGGAGGTATTTTAGTATTTCCAATTTTGTTTAAAGTAAGGCTAACCTATATCTTGTAAGTGGTAATTAAGTCTGTTCATTGATGGTGCTGTTGAGTTCAACTATGTCCTTACTGATGCTTACTGATTTTCTGCTGTCAGGATCTTTTTTTTTTTTTGACAGAGTTTTGCTCTTGTTGCCCAGGCTGGAGTGCAACAAGTTGTCTCCACTCACTGCAACCTCCGCCTCCTGGGTTCAAGCGATTCTCCTGCCTCAGCCTCCCGAGTAGCTGGGATTACAGGCATGCGCCACCACCCCGGCTAATTTTGTATTTTTAGTAGAGACGGGGTTTCTCCGTGTTGGTCAGGCTGGTCTTGAACTCCCGACCTCAGGTGATCCACCCGCCTCGGCCTCCCAAAGTGCTGGGATTACAGGCGTGAGCCACTGCACCCGGCCGCTGTCAGGATCTATTAATTACTAATAGAGCTGTGTTGAAGTCTTCAAGGATAATAGTGAATTAATCTGTTTCTCTTTGCAGTTCTATCAGTTTTTGCCTCACATATTTTGATACTCTATTCTTCGGCATATACACATTAAGGACTGTTATGCCTCTTAAATAAGTGACCTCCTTTTTATTGTGTAGTGCCCCTCTTTATCCATAATTTTCCTTTTTCTGAAATTAATATAGTTGCTCCAGCATTCTTTTGGACAGTGTTAGCATGGTATGTCTTTCATCTCTTTACTTTTAACCTCTGTCTTCATACTTATTTGTTTTTTAAAATTTTGGGGGGGATTGGGGTCTCACTGTGTCACCCTGGCTGGAGTGTATTGGTGGGATTGTAGCTCACTGTAACCCTGGAACTCCAGAGCTCAAACCATCCTCCCACCATAGCTTCCCAAGTAGCTGGGACTGCAGGCATGCGTCACCACACCCTGCAAAGTTTTAAAAATTTTTATTAGAAACAGGGGTCTCACTATCTTGGCCAGGCTGGTCTTGAACTCCTGGGCTCAAGCAATCCTCCCACCTCAGACTCTTAAAGTGTTTGGGTTACAGGTGTAACCTGGCCTCTGTCTTTATACTTCTTCACTTTTTAAGGATAATCCCACTGGATATAGAATTCTAGGTTAGTGGGGTCTTTCAACTCTTTAAATATTTCAGTCCATGTAATCCCAGCACTTGAGGAGGCCAAGGCAAAAGGACCACTTGAGCCCAGGAGTTTGAGACCAGCCTGGGCAACATACTGAGACCCTGTCTCTACTATTAAAAAAGGAAAGGAAACAAAACAAATATTTCAGTCTGCTTTCTTCTTGCTGGTGTGGTTGTTTTTATTTATTTGTTTGTTTGTTTGTTTTAGATGGAATCTTTCTATGTTGCCCAGTCTTGTCTGGAACTCCTGGGCTCAAGTGATCCTCCCACCTCAGCCTCCCACATAACTGAGATTACAGGCACACACACTGCTCCCAGCTCATGGCTTCTTCTTTTTTTTTTTTTTTTTTTTAAGACAACATCTCACTCTGTTGCCCAGGCTGGAGTGCAGTGGTGTGATCTCAGCTCACTGCAAACTTCGCCTCCTAGGTTCAAGCAATTCTGTCTCAGCCTCCTGAGTAGCTGGGACTACAGGCACACGCCACCATGCCTGGCTAATTTTTGTATTTTTAGTAGAGATAGGGTTTCACCATATTGGTCAGGCTGGTCTCAAACTTCTGACCTTAGGAGATCCTGCCTCGGCCTCCCAAAGTGCTGGGATTACAGGAATGAGCCACCTCGCCCAGCTCTAACATGGTTTCTTATAAGCTTCTCTGAGCTCCCTGGATCTGTGGTTTGGTGTCTGTCATTAATTTTGCAAAAAAATCAGCCATTATTATTTCTTACTTTAATTATTTCTCTGCCTCTTTCTCTATTCTTCTTCTGGTATCCCAATTATATATATTTGCAACTTTTGTAATTTTCCCATAGTTATTGCATACACTATTCTGTTTTTTTGGGTTTTTTTAAATCCTTTTTTCTCTTTTCATTTCAGTATAGGAAGTTTTTACTGACATATCTTCAAGTTCACTGATCCTTTTCTTCGTCATTTCCAGTCCACAGATGAGCCCATTAAGAGGTTTTAAAATTTCTGTTAGTGCTTTCACTTTCTAGCATTGCCTTTTGTTTTTTTTCTTAGAACTTTCATTTTTCTGTTCACATTAACCATCTATTCTTGCATGTTTTCTACTTTTTAAAATTAGACTTGTTAACATATTAATTTTAGCTGTTTTAAATGCCTTATCTCATTATTCCAAAATCTGTGTCATATCTGAGTCCGATTCTGATGCTTAGTTTGTCTCTTCAGACTGTGTTTTGTTTTTAGTATGTCTTGCCCTTTTTTGCTAAAAGTGGGAATTTGATGTTTTGAACAATAATTGTAGTAAATAGGCCTCAGTTGAGGTTTTATGCTAATCTGGCTGAGAACTGGGCTGTGTTTAGCGTTTTATGTGCCTGTAGGTGCCAGAGACTTCAGTTTCCTTTGGTGTCCTTGTATTTTTTTTCACCCTGTTTGCTTTGGATTTCCCTAAGAACTCTTTCTTAAATAGAGTCCGTGTCTTGAAGCTCTTTTAGTTACAATCTACTGTTATTATGCTGGAACCTAGTTGGTTTGATGGTAAGGTGTGGGGAAGAGAAAGTGCTCAATAACCTTATCATTAAATCTCAGTCTTTTAGTGGGCCTGGATCCCTGGGACATGACCTTGAGAAGTGTTTCTTATCCTGTTTTTCCCTCCATTTAGGGGAAATATTAATAGAAGGCAAAAGGAGACTGGAATTGACTAACTGCCCTTCCCTCAGGTAGATAACACTCTGGTAAAGTTGTTAGTCTTGGAGAGCAGGCCTTTGTTATGGGAAACACTCTGGGTGAAATCCAAAACAGTTACTTCCCTTGCCCACCCCTGCCAGAAATATGTGGGGGCTTTTCTCAGATCTTCATCTGAGAACCAAGTGGGATTCCTGGAGGTAAAACCCACAAAGTATGGGGCACCTCTAAACTGGGCCTCCAGGAGTTACTCTAGCAATTTGTCAGAATTGCCATTGAAGTGCTCCTATCAATGTGTGGCTCCAGTGGCTTCTGCTTCAGGTAAGCTGACCTCAGTTATTATTCTCTATATTCACCTGTCTCTCCAGATTTCAGGGTGGGGGTTTGCTCTATGACTTTATTTCTCCAGTAGGTCTTTAAAAAGTCATTAATTTTCCATTTGTTCAGCTTTTTTCTTGTTATAAGGGTAAAAGTGATGACTTCCAAGCACTTCTAAATGTCAGAGCTGAAACCAGACCTATCCTTTATTTTGAGAGACCCAATCATTCTTCCTCTCTTCTAGCTGAGTGCTGAGAAAATTAAGACAATAAGTTATCAAGGAAGGTGGTAGATGTTGGAATTCAAACGCATTATTCTTACTTCCCAACTCTTAATGCTATAAACTGTGTGCTAATCAGTTACATTCCTCCTTCGCTTTGACTGGATTATGATAGAAGAAAATATTACCAGGAAAAGAGACTGGGAACAAGCTTGTCTACTCTGCCAAGGGTTTCATTTAAGCATGAACAAACAAGTTCATGGGCACAAATCAAGGGCTTCAAAGTCTACAGGAAGGAGAGGTAGCTTCCTTGTTGAAAGAGAACCATTCATGAAATATATGATATATAAAGAGAGACAAGGGAGGCAGAGTCACTTGGCTAGATCTCAAGATCTGACTAAGCCCACTTCAAATGATGTAGTTCCACTGCTTACAGACAGAAAAGCTCAGCATTCAGCAATTGTCCCAGTGCCCAAGTCAGCCCTGAGCCTAGGGACGCAAGGGTTTGAAGGAGGAACAATGGGAAAGGAGGCTGGAGGGTTTTATCCTTGGTACCTTCACACTTCTTCGTTATTCAGGCTGCCTTTCTTCCATCATGATGGCACTACCTCGTCTGTCTCCCCAAAATATTCATTCCCCAGTTTTACACATCTAGCTCTCAGCTCATGGTCAGCCACCGAAGCCTCGACGCTCATGTTCACAACACCAACATTTTTCAGCACATGCAAAGGCACACTCTTTCTAAAGAGTATTAAATTTTGACAAAGCATGCCTTAGAACAAAGAAGCTTCTAAGGTAATAACCTAGGAGACAGGCAGTGTAATTTTCAGGCAAAGGATTCGACCTGTACCACTCACACCATGTCACCTAAAGAGATGCCAGTACACCCTTTTTATAACATGTATCAATGATTTTCCTTTCACTCCTTTTACTAGGGATGAGGGACATGATCAATAGTAACGTCCTTAAAAGAGAAAAGCAATTTGGGGAACACAGGTAAAGTGCCAAAAGGCTATATGCCTCTATAACAGAAAGCACTGAAATACAGTTCATTGGGCACCATATATCTCTTTGAAAGGACTGTCAAACACAATTATTCAGAGCATAACATTTGGCACTTTTAAAATGTTAAGAGAAATTTCTCCGTCGGGTGCAGTGGCACACACCTGTAATCCCATGACTTTGGGAGGCAAAGGCGGGTGGATCACCTGAGGTCAGGAGTTGGAGACCAGCCTGGCCAACATGGCGAAACCCTGTCTCCACTAAAAATACAAAAATTAGCCGGGCGTGGTGGTGGGTACCTGTAATCCCACCTCCTTGGGAGGCTGAGGCAAAAGAATACCTTGAACCTGGGAGGTGGAGGTTGCAGTGAGCCAAGATCATGCCACCAATGCACTCCACCCTGGGCCACAGAGCAAAACTCTGTCTCAAAAAAAAAAAAAAAGAAATTTCTCACAGAAAGGAGAAACTTGTGATAGAATCACTTAAAAGCCAACTTAGAATAACTTCCTGGTTTTCACCTTTTTTTGGTATTTCATTTTTCACAGCTAAATTCTTATAAATTTGGGGCAAAAATATTAGAATCCAGTTTGCTTTTCTGTTCTGTGACTTTATTTTCACCCACCTCCCAAATGACTTTGAAGTGGGACTTCTGAATGTCAATCCTAGACAAAAGCTAATGTTGTAAAGGAAAAAGTAAATCTTTATTTTTAGCTAGAGAAAGAATTCCAAAAATTTTTCACCATTAGTGAGGAAGAACATTGAGATACTTGCCATCCATACACATAGAAGCCCAAACCTGTAATGGTGCATTTAATCCTAGGCAGTTCCTTTCTAGAAAGATAGCTCAAAAATATAGGAAAATTCAAAGAGGAGTGAAAATCTAGTAAGATTCAGAGATAGTGTTAAAGAGAAATATTAAAAGATATTTTAGATACCAGATACTTATTTTTAGTTAGTTAATTAGTTGGTTGTTATAATGGCATTGGGGTTACATTTTTAAATGCTTGTAAATTCTGAGATATATGTAGATGTATATAGGAGTTAAATTATATAATACTAGGAATTTGCTTTAAAACACTTCATTAAGAAAGGGAAGGAAGGGAGGGGGGAAGGGAGGGAGGGAGGGAGGAAGGAAGGAAGGAAGGAAGGAAGGAAAAAAGGAAGGGAAGAAGGGAGGGAGGGAGGGAAGGAGGGAGTGAGGGAGGGAGACAGAAGTAAAGCAAATGTGGCAAAATAGTGAATTTGAATCTAGGTGATGATGTATTCATTTCCTGAGGCTGCTGTAACAAATTACCTCAAATTGGGGGGCTTACAACAACAGAAACTTATTGTCTCACAGTTCTGGAAGCCAGAGGTCTGAAATCAAAACAGGGTCTTGCTCCCTCTGAAGGCTCTAAGGGAGAATCCTTCCTGCCTCTTCCAGCTTCTGGTGGCCTCAAGGGTTCTTGGCCATGGGCTCGGGCTCATAACTCCAATCCATTTCTCGTGATCACATGGCCTTCTCTTCTGTGTCTGTGTCTTCTCTGCTTCTGTCTCTTATAAGAATGCTTATCATTGAATTTAGAGCCCACTAGATAATTCAGGATGATCTCATTGTCAGATCTTTAATTATATCTGCAAAGACCTTCATTCCAAATAAAGTCACATTCATAAATTTTCAGCATCAGGACATGGGCATAACATTTTCAACCCACTACTGGACGTATGATATTATTATACTATTCTATTTTCTCTCTTTTTTAAGTAGTATTGAGTACTTTTTAAGATTTTATACTAAAAAAGTTTTTTACATTTTCGCTAAGCATTGAATTAGCAGAATTCAAAGAATTTTGTATTGTATTTTGCTAAGCATTGAATATGGCAGAATTCAAAGCAGAGAACTTTATAGCTGAGGCAGAAAGTACTGGGAATGTTCAGGGAACAGAGACATGTGAACTGATAAGGAATAATAGGGAGAAGCAACTTCCTTCCTTGTTGTCAACCAAACAGACACAGATACTGTACATAAAATAGTGCAAAGGAAGCATAGAATTCTTTCCAGGCTAACCTGATTCCATTTCCACTAGCATTCCCATCAACCTTTGCCTTTCTCTTTTCTAAAGGAACTGACGATGCTGGAGAGGAGGGATACGAGAGCCTCAGGCCTTTTTGTAAAACAACATTTTAGCTTCCAAATTAGGTCATGTCTATCCTGGGCCACACTGATTCAGGCTGCTTGTCCTCACATTAATGGTAATGTGATTGTTCCTATGTCAGGGCTGGCAGGGCTAAAAGCATGTCAGGTATGTTATCCACATATCTTCCACTTTGCTTTTTAGCACCTTCATCACCTCTAGGAAGATAACTTTCCCAGATACTAAAGTCAAGAAGCCACTCGAGCGCACTTCCTTAATTCACTTCCAAAAACGAAACGTTTTTTACTCTAGGCCCAGGACACACTCACAGCACAGAGAGCATGCAATGGGCCACGTGGTGCATGTAAGGGAGAAGGACCTTTCAATGGGAGGAACGAGGAGAAGGATGAGACTTCTTTTTTGCTTATGTTCTCTCTTCCATGTGGCTGGAAAAGTAGGAATGGCCTGGGGGATAAAAGTAAGGCTAGGGTATAGATGCTAATGTGAAAAGGGACGGCCTGGAGTTGCGCAAGTCACAACCTACACAGCTATATGTGGTGGCCCAGCTGGCCCCCACCTTATCACAGTAAGGAATACCAGATGAGGATTTAAGGTCATAGCAATATTAAAGAATGTTCATTTTGGCTGGGAGCGGTGGCTCCCACCTGTAGTCCCAACACTTGGGGAGGCCGAGGCAGGCAGATCACTTGAGGTCAGGAGTTCGAGACCAGCCTGGCGAACATGGTGAAAACCCCCTCTCTACTAAAAATAAAAAAAATTAGCCAGGCGCGGTGACAGACACCTGTAGTCCCAGCTACTCGGGAGGCTGAGGCAGAAGAATAGCTTGAACCTGGGAGGCAGAGGTTGCAGTGAGCCTAGACCACGCCATTGCACTCCAGCCTGGGCAACAGAGCAAGACTCCGTCTCAAAAAAAAAAAAAAAAAAGAAGAAGAAGAATGCTCATTTAATTTCTTGCCATGCTAGCTACCCCTCAGAAAAGTGTCAGTTTCCTCAGGCTAACCAACTAACATTGCCAGGCGTGGTGGCTCATGCTTATAATCCCAGAACTTTGAGAGGCCGAGTCAGGTGGATCATCTGAGGTCAGGAGTTCGAGACCAGCCTGACCAACAAGGCGAAACCCCGTCTCTACTAAAAATACAAAAAATTAGCTGGGTGTGGTGGCAGGCTCCTGTAGTCCCAGCTACTCAGGAGGCTGAGACAGGAGAATTGCTTGAACCCAGGAGACGGAGGTTGCAGTGAGCCAAGATCGAGTCATTACACTCCAGCCTGGGTGACATAGTAAGATTCCATCTCAAAAAAAAAAAAAAAGAAAGAAAGAAACTAACACTGAAGCAAATAGAAGCTTTTTGGCCATTTCCAGTGTGAGATTCCCACAGCATGACTCACCCTGCCACGGAGCTCTGGAGGGGAGCACTGGTAAAGCAGCTAAAGCCTTGACTGCTGCAGTCAGCATGGCCTCCAGGAACAACAGTGCTCTGCTGAGCAGGCTCCATGGGCCCTGCCCACTGACATCCACTTGTCAAAGTGGTGGGGTTAGGCAGCATGTTTTCCACCAGCCTCTTATGGATGTGGGACCGGATGGAGCCTCTGACCTAGGCAGGTATGAGCTGACTGTGACTTCTAGCCTGAACATGGCCAGACAGCTTCTTTCTGCCAGCAGCTTGAATGGAAAAGTAACAAGAAAAGGGGTCACTTAGCAGGAGAAAGAACAGAAAACAAAAGGATGCAGACACTGATGTCCAAGTGTTACAGGATCTCTGGGGTGTCAATTTTTCTGGTGGGAAACCTCTGCGGCCGAAGCACCTTTGCCCGAGTTCTCACCCTGCATCTAGGAAGAATGAGGTACACAGACAAGCGCAGGGTGGAGAAGAAGAGTTTTATTTAGTGTTAGAACAGCTCAGAGGAGTGGGTGGCTCAGGGCAGCGGAGGGGGTCCTTCCTGGGGCTGCTGAGGGTGCAGGCTGCAGAGACACCTGGCTCCCGCATCTAGGAGGGTGGCTGCAGCCACACCCTCACCCAGAAAGGCAGATCCTGCCTGCTGCCAGCCCTCCCCCAAGAGCACAGGGAGGCTCAGATGAATCCACAGCTACAGTTTGGGTTCCTGTAGCCCCACCCAGGAGAGTGGGGTTCCTGCCTGCTCTGTAGAGCAGGAGGCCTGGGTCTGCAGCTGCATTGGGCGGCTATAGCAGCACCCGGGGAGCTCCTGTCCCAACTCAGAAGGGGTGGGGCTCTCACCAGCTCCATGGAGTGTGCTGCCATCACAACTAGGTTTGTGTCCAGGATGGCCAAGCCAAGGAAAAGAAGGAGCAGAAACTATGAATATGCAGAAGAAACTCCCCTTGGGGAGAGGAGAGGATATAAGAAGAGAAGCAGGGGACCTAGCGTGTCCTAAGAGACCACAGGGAAAATGACAAAGGAAGAGAAGTGCTCTCTTTGTTGCAGGACTGGAGAGGCAGAGGTGGAGTGTCATTCAAAAAGCCATGTTAAATATCCTAACACAAACTTCTACTGGAAAATTTTAAAGTAATACAAAGTGCCAAATGTGAAGTTTCATGAATCTTGGCTGGCAGCAAACCACTGAGGATGATATGACCCTGGAAATCTATGTCAGAATCTCAGCTGGGTGAGGATGGAGCATGTGTGAAGTTGAAGTGCAGTTTTATCTAAGAGGGCAAAGGTTTAAAAAGATTGAGAAACTGGCCAGGCACGGTGGCTCACGCCTGTAATCTCAACACTTTGGGAGGCTGAGGCAGGTGGATCACCTGAGGTCAGGAGTTCAAGACCAGCCTGGCCAACATGGTGAAACTCCATCGCTACTAAAAATACAAAAAATTAGCCAGACGTGGTGGCACGTGCCTGTAATCCCAGCTACTTGGGAGGCTGAGGCAGGAATCACTTGAACCAGGAAGCGGAGGTTGCAGTGAGCTGAGATTGCGCCATTGCACTCCAGCCTGGGCAACAAGAGCGAAACTCCATCTCAAAAAAAAAAAAAAAAAAAAAAAAAAAAGATTGAGAAACTCTTCCCTTATACTTTCCTCACTTTTTCAATTCTCTGAATTCTCACTCTAATTTCCCTCTTGAAGATGCCCTTCTTTGATACCTGGGGAGCAGAGTAGAGCCTCTATAAGAGCTCTTTCTTCTATTTTAATGACATTGGTTTGCCTAAGAATGAAATATTAGTCCAAAAGTGAATGTGGACATTAATAATAGAGGCCAGTTATACCAAGCCAAGAAAAGCACTTAAAAAAAAAAACCAGCATTCAGAGGGAACAAATAATTTTAGCTGTCAAATCCAAAAATTGTGTATCTAACCCACTGAACTGTGGAATTTATTTTCTTACATAGCAAAAGATTCCTCAACTTAGTCAACAATCAGGCTACAAATTTCCGCATATCCATCTTTTTTTTTAAAGCAAAAAGTGTACATCAGTGTATTTAAAAAAATTTTTTTTATCTTCTGTAAATGTTATATTCTTAAATGTAAATTCTTAATGTAATGCACATCTTCAGGCCTATTAGAGAGAACACAAGGAACAAATTGCTCAGTGAAAAGCACATGAACTTCCATATTAGAAAGGAGTCCCAACTCTGACATCCCCCTCCTTTCTAGCTGTTTGATTTGGGAAGAAATTGGTTTAACGGTTTAACAACTGTCTTTTGGGTTTTTTTTTTGGTGGGAGGGACAGAGTCTAGCTCTGTAGCCCAGGCTGGAGGGCAGTGGTGCGATCTCAGCTCACTGTAACCTCTGCCTCCCAGGTTCAAACAATTCTTCTCCTCAGCCTGCTGAGTAGCTGGGACTACAGGTATACGCCACCACACCTGGCTAAGTTTTGTTGTTGTTGTTGTTGTGTTTTTGGGTTTTTTTTTTTTTTTTTTTGAGACAGAGTCTCACTCTGTCGCCCAGGCTGGAGTGCAGTGGTGCGATCTTGGCTCACTGCAAGCTCAGCCTCTTGGGTTCATGCCATTCTCCTACCTCAGCTTCTCAATAGCTGGGACTACAGGCGCCTGCCACCACGCCTGGCTAATTTTTTTGTATTTTTTTAGTAGAGATGGGGTTTCACTGTGTTAGCCAAGATGGTCTTGATCTCCTGACCTCATGATCTGCCTGCCTCGGCCTCCCAAAGTGCTGGGATTACAGGTGTGAGCCACTGCGCCCAGCCCATTTTTTGTATTTTAGTAGAAATGGAGTTTCACCATGTTGCCCAGGCTGGTGTCGAACTCCTGAGCTCAGGCAATCCACCCGCCTTAGCCTCCCAAAGTGCTAGGATTACAGGCATGAGCCACCGCACCTGGCTAACAAGTTTTTAATCTTCGATTTCTTGATCTATTGAATGTTTAGAGTATGACTTATTCATAGGGCTTTGGAGAAACAAAAATGAACTTTTTCAAAGGGTGAATATCACTCTCCATTTAGTTGTCCAAGTTAGAAACTTATGAATCATTCCTAATACCTCCTAGTCTCTCACTCTCCACGTGTAATCCAAAAGTAATCCAGTAGGTTCACCCTTCAAAATATATCTCAATTATTCCCCCTTGTCTCCATCACCACCACTGTTATTAGTCTTAGACGTCATGGTTTTTCACATTCACTGCTGCTCCCATCTCCAGACTGGTGTCTCCACTTGCTTTTCCCTCGGTCCCCAGTCTACCCCATATAGCAGCTCGTTTTTTAAAAGCATAAATCATACCATTCTTCTGCTTAATTCTGATGATGTCCCACTATAGATAGATAGATAATTTTTTTTTTCTTTGAGACAGAGTCTCACTCTCTCCCTCAGGCTGGAGTGCAGTGGTGTGATCTCAGCTCACTGCAACCTCTGCCTCTCAGGTTCAAGCGATTCTCATGCCTCAGCCTCCCAAATAGCTGGGATTACAGGCGCGTGCCACTACACCTGGCTAATTTGTGTATTTTCAGTAGAGATGGGGTTTCACCATGTTGGCCAGGCTGGTCTCAAACTCCTGACCTCAGGTGATCTGCCTGCCTCGGCCTCCCACCACTATAATTTTTAAATGACATCTTCACTGAGATATAATTCACATACCATAAAACTCGCCCTCTTACAGTATACAAATTAAAATACACAATGTGGTTTTAGTGTTTTCACAATGTTCAATCATAACCACTATCTAATTCCAGAACACTTTCATCACCCCAGAAAGAAACCCAATACTCATAAGTAGTTACTACTATTCCCACCCCTTCCAGCCCCTAACAAACACTAATCGATTTTCTCTCTCTATGGATTTGTCTGTTCTGGACATTTCATATAAATGGAATATTATAATACATGACTTTTGAGGTCTGGCTTCTTTCACTTAACATAATGCTTTCAAGATTGATCTGTGTGTCAGCATGTATTAGTACTTCATTTATTTTAATTGCCAAGTAATATTCCATTGTGTGGATATACCATATTTTGTTTATTCACTCATGAACATTTGGTTATTTTCACTTTTTGACTATTACAAATAATGCTATGAACATTCATGTGCACATTTTTGTGAGGACATGTATTTTCAATTATCTTGGGTATATTCATAAGAATAAAAATGCTGAGTCATATGGTAACTTTATGCTTAACTGTTTAAGCAACTGCCAAATAATTTTCCAAAGTAGCTGTACTATTTACAATCCCCCTAGCACTGAATGAGGGCTCCAATTTCTTCACATCCTCACAAACACTTGTTACCTGTCTTTTTGATTATAATAATTCATGCAGTAGTTTCTCACTGGGGTTTTGATTTGCATTTCCCTAATGACTAATGATGTTGAGCATTTTTTCATTGCTTATTAGTCATTTGTATATTTCTTTTTTTTCTCTCTCTTGAGACAGAGTCTCGCTCTGTCGCCCAGGCTAAAGTGCAATGGCATGATCTCAGGTCACTGCAGCCTCTGCCTCCTGGGTTCAAGCAATTCTCCTGCCTCAGCCTCCCAAGTAGCTGGGATTAGAGGTGTGCACCACTATGCCTGGCTAATTTTTTGTATTTTTAGTAGAGACAGGGTTTCACCATGTTGGCCAGGCTGGTCTCAAACCCCTTACCTCAAGTGATCCACTGCTTCGGCCTCCCAAAGTGCTGGGATTACAGGCGTGAGCCCCGTGCCCAACCTACATATTTATTTGAAGAAAATTCTATTCAAATATTTTGCTCATTTAAGAAACTGGGCTGGGCATAGTGGCTTACACCTGTAAACTCATCACTATGGGAGTCTGAGGCTGGATGATGGCTTGAGGCAAGGAGTTCAAGATCAGCTTGGGCAACATAGTGAGACCCTGTCTCTACAAAAAAAAAAAAAAAATTGCTGGGCATGATGGCATGTACCTGTAGCCCTAGCTATTCAAGAGGCTGAAACAGGAGGATCACTTGAGCCCAGGAGTTCAAGGTTACAGTGAACTATGATTGCATCACTGCACTCCAGCCTGGGCAACAGTGAGACCCTGTCTCAAAAATAAAAAGGGTTGTCTTTTTATTAAGTTGTAAGAGTTCTTTATATATTAGATATAATTTACTTAACACATATATTGTAAGCAAATATTTTCTTCCACTGTGTATCTTTTCACTTTCTTAACGATGGAGGTAGTTTTTACTTTTTCTTGCTTAATTTTTCTATGACCTTCAGCACAATGTTAAATGAAGTGGTAACAGTTTTAGCCATGTGTGGTGGTACACACCTGTAATCCCAGCTACTCAGGAGGCTGAGGTGGAAGGATTGCTTGAGTAGCAATTTGAGGCTGCAGTAAGCCATGATTGTGCCACTGCAGTTCATTCTGGGTGACAGAGCAAGACTCTGTCTCTAATTTTTAAAAGGTGGTTAAGAGTGAACGTCCCTGTCTTGTTCTTAATCTTAGAGGAAAAGCATTCAGTCTGTCATCATTAAGTCTGATGTTAGCTGTGGATTTTTTTTTTAATAGCTAAGCTTTATTATGTTGAGGAAATTCTCTTCTGCTTCTAGTTTGTTGAGAAATTTTATCTTAAAAGGGTGGTGAATTTTGTCAGTGCTTTTTCTGTTACCTATTAATGTGACCACATGGTTTTTGTCCTTTATCCTATTAATATGTTACATTAAATCAACTGAGTTTCGTATGTTAAATCAACCTTACATGTCTGGCACAAATTCCACTTGGTTATAGTGTGTAACTTTTTTAATCCATCATGGTATTCAGTTTGCTAGTGTTTTGTTGAGGATTTTTGCAACTATAATTGATAAGGGATATTGATCTGTAGTTTTCTAGTCATGCCATTGTCTAGTTTCGGTATCAGGGTAATACTGGTCTCATAGAATCATTTGGGAACTATTCCCTCGACTGTTTTTTGGAAGAGTTTGTGAAGGATCAATGTTAATGCCTCTTTAAATGTTTGGTAGAATTCACTAGTAAAGCCATTTGGGCCTAATGTTTTCTTCATGGGAAGTGTTTTTCTTGTTTTTATTACTAATTCCAATCTCTTTACCTGTTAAAGATCTGTTCAGTTTTTCCATGTCTTCTTGATTCCATTTTGGTAGCTTGTGTCTTTCTAGGAATCTGTCCATTTCACCTAGGTTATCTAATTTGTTGACATACAATTGCTAATAGTATTCCCTTATAATCCTTTCTACTTCTGTAAGTTTGGTAGTGATATCCCCTCTCGTTTCTGATTGTAGAATTTGATTCTTCTTTTATTCTTGGTCAGTCTAGCTAATTGTCAATTTTGTTGATCTTTTTCCCACTGCATTTTGAATAGAACCCAAACTCCTCATCTTAGCCTGTTAGGTCCCATGTGAAGAACCCTTTCTACACTCCAAACTCCACTCGCCCTCTCTCACCCGTCAGTCTGCTGCAGCCACACTGGTCTTTTATCAGCTCCTGAATGCACCAGTCCCTTTGCCAGCTCAAGGCTATCACAAGTACTGGTTTCCTCTGCTGGGAAGGCCTCTTCCCCTAGGTTTTGTCCGACTGGCTCTTTCCCACCCTGCGGAGCTCAAGTGTAGTAAGCTGCCTTTCTAACTTGGAGTGTGTACATATTACCTTCCTTATCTTACCTTCCATATATATACCTGCCAATAGCCTAATTTGTAGCATTTGCCAATTTCCATGGTGTAAATACTGCCACCACCATGGCTGATTTCAAGCTGCCAATTTGTGTCACTGAGCACAAAGTAAGGAAAAGAGTCTATTACTTTCCTTATATACTCATCTTATATTTTCTTTACTACTGTATATCCAGCATTTAATTTTTTTTAAAGGTGGTAAGAGAGAACGTCCTTGTCTTGTTCTTAATCTTAGAGGGAAACCATTCAGTCTTTCATCATTAAGTCTGAGGTTAGCTGTGGGTTTTTTTTTAATAGATAGGCTTTATTAGGTTGAGGAAATTCTCTTCTGCTTCTAGTTTGTTGAGAGTTTTTATCTTAAAAGGATGGTGAATTTAACATAATGCCTGGCTCATGATAGTAGTTCAATAGTTTTAAAAGTGAGAGTTTGAAAGCAGCCAGGCCAACATGGTGAAACGCCATCTCTACTAAAAAAAAAAAATACAAAAATTTAGCCGGGCATGGTGGCACACACCTGTAATTCCAGCTACTCAGGAGGCTGAAGCAGGAGAATCGCTTGAACCCAGCAGGTGGAGGTTGCAGTGAGCTGAGATCACGCCACTGCACTCCAGCCTGGGCAACAGAGTGAGTACCCTGTCTCAAAAAAATAAATAAAAATAAATAAATTTAAAGGTGGAAAAAAATTAGAACTACAAAATTTACAAAATACTATAGCAATATAACGTGATTGTTATTAATTGCACAATATTACTTACAAGTTTGATTATTAGACATCAGGACCTGTCACTATTTCCAAAACATGGGCTATCTTTATTTAATGTGGGTGAAATGATAACACTAGATAGATGCCCTTAGGCAAAAGTGGGTTTTGTCTAACACATAACATTTTTATTTGACTATTGTTTAATTTTTAAATATCTTGGAGGATGTTCACATTTCAAAGGAATCATTTCTTATAAAGTACTTAGCCTTGACATAGTGCTTTGTACACAAAGTCCGCTCATGAAATAAGTAAACGTTTATTTGTTCATTCACATATTACTTGAGATTTATCGAGTACCTGGTATGTACTCGACATTCACTAAGGCCTTAGGATTCAGAGTCAACTACAAAAGCTCTTAAGAGACGACAGAACGTACCAGTGTTCTCCACGGAGAGTGGTGAGGACAGGGACAGCGTCTGTGGGTGGTGGCAGGGGAGGAGCAGCAGGACAGATGGGATGACAATGGTATAAACCAGGAGTCACAAACAAATGCCCCAGGAACCACGTGGGCTTGGTGTGGGACATGGTAAGTGGCAGAGTCTGTGGCTGGGGGAAACAGCACGTTTTTTTTTTTTGTTTTGTTTTTGTTTTTTGAAACAGTTTCACTCCCGTTGCCCAGCCTGGAGAACAATGGCACAGTCTCGGCTCACTGCAATCTCCTCCTCCCGGGTTCAAGCAGTTCTCCTGCCTCAGCCTCCCTAGTAGCTGAGATTACAGGCGCCGGCCACCATGCCTGGCTAATTTTTGTATTTTTAGTAGAGACAGGGTTTCACCATGTGGGCCAGGCTAGTCTCGAACTCCTGACCTCAGGTGACCCACCCACCTCGGCCTCCCAAAATGCTGGGATTACAGGCATGAGCCACTGCACCTGACCTGGAAACAGCACATTCTATTTGAAAACATTTATATCTAAATTTAAAACAAAAATAATGTGGCAGTCAGACAAAATACTTCTTCAGGCGGGATACAGCTCACTGGCCAACAGTATTGGCCTAAGCAAAGCAAATAGCAGAGAGAAAGTAGAAGAACCCAAACCACTGCTGCTTTGCGGGAGCTGGCTAGTTCCAGCTCCAGAGAGCGGGGTTTGTACTTTGTGCTCAATGACGTCATGTTGCAGCTGGCAATGAGCCATGGTGGTGGCAGCATTTACACCAGGGAAATCAGCAAATTCTTCACATCAAGCTATTGGTAGTCAATGCTGAACGCATTATTTAAATGTTAAAACAAAAAAAAAAAAACAGAGATCTGCTCCTATTTGAAGAAAGAAAAATCTTTTCACTTAGGTTTCAGAAACTTCTCACTTCTTCCTTTAAAAATATTGTAAGCAATTTTTACTTGTACTCAGGATTAATACATAGTTAAATGTATGTTGTCTTACCAAAAATAAGTAAATAACTAAGCAAACAAATAAAATGAGTTCAAGAGAAGGCTTGTATTTTTATTTCTTCATGTATATTTTTAGATGATAAACTCATCTGAGAATATGGTTGTGAAAATGATAGGAACTAAGGAGTTATCTTAATTACAGGGAATCAACTGTCATTTTCATCATTTAGTATTGATTACTATTTACAGTCTATGAGAAATTCCTTTCATTAAAATCAAATCCCCCAAATAAAGAATAAGGAATAAGTTCACATTATAGTACTACTTACAGGTCCTAATTTAATATAGTTTTTCTAATTCCACTTCCCATTTGAAGAATGTGTAATTTATTATTTAATTTTTTTTTTTTTTTTTTTTTTGAGACAAGGTCTGGCTCTATACCCCAGGCTGGAGTGCAGTGGTGCAATCTTTTTTTTTTTTTTTTTTTTTTTTGAGATGGAGTTTCGCTCTTGTTGCCCAGGCTGGAGTGCAATGGGGCGATCTTGGCTCACCACAACCTCCGCCTCCCGGGTTCAAGTGATTCTCCTACCTCAGCCTCCTGAGTAGCTGGGATTACAGGCATCAGTGGTGCAATCTCCACCTCCCAGGCTCAAGCAATCCTCCTCCTACCTCAGTCTCCTGGGTATCTGGGACTACAGGTGTGCACCACCATGCCCGGCTAATTTTTGTATTTTTTGTAGAAACAGGGTTTTGCCATGTTGCCCAGGTTGGTCTCTAATTCGTGAGCTCAAGCAATTCGCCCCCCTTGACCTCCCAAAATGCTGGGCTTACAGGTGTGGGCCACTGCACCTGCCCATTATTATGTAATTTATAAAAATACTTTTAGAACTGGGAATAACCTTGGAGATTATTGTGTCCAGGGCAAGCATATAGATTTCAACTCTTCCAATCATTGGTGGTGGCTGCCTGGAGTCCTGTCCCAGCTCGGCAAGGAAAAAGACCATGTTCAACATCAACATCTGCCTTTGATATAGGAGAAGGTGACACCATGAATCTAGTCCTAATCTAGTCCAGTTTATTTATTTTACAGGTTAGAAACTGAAGTCGTAATAGGTTAAGAGACTTGTCAAAAGTCATACAATTAAGTCAATGGCATAGCCAGGATTGTAAATTCAGCAGAAGTTGTTACTGAATAAAATTTCTCCCTTTCACCTTCAGGGCCCAATTGTCCCCAAATACCTCCCAAATACATTTCCTCCACCCCAATTCCATTAATCCTGTCTATTATCAGGAGTCCCTTATTTTTTCTACCTGTCCCTAATATCTCTCAATATTTCCACATACAATCCATCCTCCTTGGCCCAGAACACTTCCAGAGAAGAATTTTAAGCACAAATATTATAATGTCACTGTAATGCTTACACACTTCCATGATCCCAGCACCTTGTAACACTGTGCTTCCACGCCTTTGCTTATTCCCTGTGGTTCCCCTCTGCCTAGCAAACCCTACTCTTCCTTTAGACCAGTGAAAACATCTCTTCTGTGAAGCTTTCCTTAGTTCTTCCCTACTCCCTCAACAATCCATTTATAAAAGCAGGAACGATGCTATCCTCATCTCAGTCTGTCTTCTGTCTTGTACTGCCTCCAGAGTTCTGCAGAGGAGAATGTCCATTCACATTTATTAATAATAAGTCAGTCTGGAACTACATGCACCTCCACATCAGGATGCCAGGGCACTATGCCACTAGGCAGAGATTCAAGATGTTAGTTTTTAGTTTTTGCTGCTCCACTCCCCCCAACTTTTTTTTTTTTTTTTAAGATAGGGCCTGACTGTTGCCAGGCTGGAGTACAGTGGCACAATCACAGCTCACTGCAGCCTCAAACTCCCCGGTCCAAGTGATCCTCCCACCTTAGCCTCCCAAGTAGTTGGGACTACAGGCATGTGCCACCATGTCTGCCTGGCTATTTTTTTCTTTTTGTAGATACAGGGTCTCACTTTGTTGCCCACGCTGGTCTCAAACTCCAGGGCTCAAGTGATCTGCTGCCTCAGCCTCCTGAGCAGCTGGGACTACAGGCATGCACCACCACACCTGGCTAAGAAGTTTTTAATGTCATGAGAAAGTGTTATAAGGGGGAAAAGCAAAATAAAATATATATGTGTGATAATATTTTATCCACATAAATATACACTGAAATAAGACTGGGGGAGTGTTAATTGATGACTGGATTATCAGCAATTGTTTTCAGACTTTCAATTTTTACGTTATGATTATTTATTCATTTATCACTACTTTATTGAAGTATAATTTATGTATTGAAGTATAATTTATAGTAAAATGCATATATCTTAAAATGAATTTTGACATTAAAAAATGTTTGTATATATACACCTCTATATAATCATCTTCTACATAAAGATACAGCATTTTCATTACCCCCAAAACTCCCTTTCTGCCTCCAGTTAATACTCACCCACCTGCATTCTGACTTTTAAAGCAATAGTTTTTTGTTCTTAAATTTTATATAAATGGGATCATACAGTATATATTTTTAATGGTATCTGACTTCTTTCATTCAAACTAATGTTTTTGAACACCTTCCATGCTGTTGCCTGTATCAATTTGTTCCTTTTCTCTGCTGAGTAGTATTTCATTGTATTATTATACCACAATTTGTTTATCCACTTTCCTATTGATGGACACTTTGGTTGTTTCCACCTTGGGGCTATTATGAATAAGGCTGCTAAAAACATTCACAAACAAATCTTTTTATGCACATATACACTTATTTATGGGTATATATGCAGAAGTGGAATTGCTGAGTCATTCAGGTAGATATACATTTAACTTTGTTAGAAATTGCCAAACTGGCCAGGCATGGCGGCTCACGCCTGTAATCCCAGCACTTTAGGAGGCTGAGGAGGGCAGATCACCTAAGGTCAGGAGTTTGAGACCAGTCTGGCTAACAAGGTGAAACCCTGTCTCTACTAAAAATACAAAAATCAGCCAGGTGTGGTGGCAGATGCCTGTAATCCCAGCTACTAAGGAGGCTGAGGCAGGAGAATCACTTGATTCCAGTCAGGAGGCAGAGGTTACAATGAGCCGAGATCATACCACTGCACTCCAGCCTGGGCAACAAGAACAAAACTCCATCTCACAAAAAAAAAAAAAAAAAAAAAAAGAAATTGCCAAACCACTTGCCATAGCGGTTCACCATTGTATGCTCCCACCAGCAATGTATGAGTGTTCCAGCTCCTCCACATCCTAACTATCACGTAATTGCCAGTCCTTTTAATTTTATTGATTCTGCCTTGTCTGTAGTAGTATCTCATTGTGGTTTGAATTTCCATTTCTCTGATGAATAATTATGTTGAGGACCTTTTCATAGACTTTATAGCCTTTCAGTTATCTTCTCTTGCAACATGCCAATTCAAATCTTTTGCTCATTTTTAAGGAGACTTGCTTGTCTTTTTATTATTGGTGTATAGGAGTTTTTAAAATAGATGTCTTTATATCCTTTCTGGTTATAAAAGTCCTTTGTCAAACGTCTATATTCTTTTTAGATAACAATATCTAAATATAATTAGAGAAAACAAAATATTTTCTCTAAGTTTATACCTTTTCACTTTTTTTTTGAGATGGAGTTTCACTCTTGTTGCCCAGGCTGGAGTGCAATGGCACGATCTGCCGCAACCTCTGCATCCCGGGTTCAAGCGATTCTCCTGCCTCAGCCTCCCGAGTAGCTGGGATTACAGGCATGCACCACCACAGCTGGCTAATTTTTGTATTTTCAGTAGAGATGGGGTTTCTCCATGTTAGACTGGTCTCGAACTCCCGACCTCAGGCGATCCACCCGCCTCAGCCTCCCAAAGTGCTGGGATTACAGGTGTGAGCCACTGCGCCCAGGCTCCTTTTCACTTTCTTAATGGTGTCTTTTGATGGGCAGAGGTTTTTAATTTTAGTGAAGTTTAATTTTCAATTTTTTCTCCTATGCCTTTTGTGACTTGTCTTAGAAATGTTTTCCTACCCTGGCCGGGCCCGGTAGCTCACGCCTGTAATCTCAGCACTTTGGGAGGCTGATGCGGGCTGATCAGCTGAGGTCAGGGGTTCAAGACCAGCCTGGCCAACATGGTAAAACCCTGTCTCTACTAAAAATACAAAAAAAAAACTTAGCCGGGTATGGTGGCGGGAGTCTGTAATCCCAGCTACTTGGGAGCCTGAGGCAGGAGAATCACTTAAACCCGGGAGGCGGAGGTTGCAGTGAGCTGATACCACGCCGTTACACTCCAGCTTGAGCAACAGGAGTGGAACTCCATCTCAAAAAAAAAAAAAAAAAAAAAATGTTTTCCTACCCTAAAGTCATAAAAATATTTTTCTATGATTTCTCCCAGAAGGTTTGCAGGTTTAGCTTCATATTTAGATGTATGATCATTGCTGTTCTTTAATCATAAGGGGGAAAGGGACTTAATCTCAAGCAAATAAGTATAAATGGCAGGCTGCTATTGAGGCCATCCATTATTTAGGTTGGGAAAGTTGAAGTTTTGGCATAAACACCGTATCGTGTCACCTTGGTGGAAGAACAAGTATAACTGTTGTCCTGGCTCAGCAGAACATTCTGATCCCAACTCTGGCTCCATAGATAAGCTGTACCTGGGCTTTCTTACAGTTAAAGGGTTGGGAGAAGATTTAAGGGATTTGGGAGGAGATTGGGAATACACAGAATTATAGAGAAGCCCTGAACATCAAATGACCGCCTATGCAGGATTCAGATTCACATTCGTTCTCGGCTGCTTCTACAGTTAGTGAAGACTCCAGTGAAAGCTGGGGCCCTGATACCCTCCAACATGGACACCTTCAGAGCTAGGAGTCATGGGGGAGAGGGAAGGTGGGGTAAGCCAAGAATTATATTGTTAGTTGTAATGAGCTAGCATTAAATAGATGTTAGTCATGTCTCCAATGTGGATGTTGAGAAAGATGACCAGAATTTGGAGTCCCAAATTCCTAAATCCTCTCCAGTTGCTGATGAAGCTACTGTCACCCCATGTGAGTTTGCCAAGGAAGGTATATGCACAGTAGACAAGGCCAGGTGCAAGGACACTTTATGACAACAAGGACTTTTGGTCCTGATCTCAGTATTGTCTTCTAGTGAGCTAGACTGAACTTTGTGTGTTTCACGGTCTTATCTTGCTGCCATGGCCTAAGGCTCACACTTAAAAGCAGGGGAGCAATTTCTTTGGCCTTCTCCCACAGGCCAGAAGTGACCAATATCTGGCACATGCATAGCCACTCCTACTTCTGTGGCTATAGTGAATACTGTGGTATGCTACCCAGATCTCTCTTTTAGGACCTAGGCATTCATTCCCCCCAGCTACCAGGAGTGTTGGCCACCGATGGCTCGTAATTGCATCCTTCTCCAGGAATGGCCTTGGTCAAAGGAAGCTGCCTTGCCCAAGCACACAGACCTCCATGGTCAACGTTGGAGAGAGTGATGGCAAGGGGTCAGTACTAAAGCCTGGAACTTTTGACACATTTAGGACAACTCAGCTCCAGAGATCCCCATGAGGTTGGCTAAGGCCTTTGTTGCAACTACAATGTGTCATCTTTCTTCCCTCCTTTCCTTACAAGCTTTATTTATTTTTAAGATGGAGTCTTGCTCTGTCACCCAGCTGGAGTACAGTGGTGCAATCGCAGCTCACTGCAACCTCCATCTCCCAGGTTTCAGCGATTCTCCTGCCTCAGCCTCCTGAGTAGCTGGGATTACAGGCATGCGTCACCAAGCCCAACTAATTTTTGTGTTTTTAGTAGAGACGGGGTTTCACTATGTTGGCCAGACTGGTCTCAAACTCCTGACCTCAGGTGATCCGCCCACCTTGGCCTCCCAAAGTGCGGGAATTACAGGCATGAGCCACCTTATAAGTTTTGTTCTCAAGTTTACTCCCTAATAAACATCCTGCAAACAATTCTCTGAGTCTTAGAATCTGTTTCTGTGAAAACTATCTAAAACAGTGGCCATGTCACAATACATTACCAATTAATCATATTACTTGCTTTATCATGCTGAGCCTGGAAAAATATTAAGGTTCCTTCTGAAAACAGCCTTTAAGTAACTATAAAAAAAAAAACCAGGTGGAGTGATAAACAAGTTGAAACCCATTTATCATCCCTGCTTCAAGCCCATATTTTATTATCAGTCCTCTAAATCTTAGTATTCTTGTGGCAAGAAGAGACAAGGAGAGACATGTCTGAGGAAAAGTACACGGAGGAAAGAAGAGAGATACTTGAATCCAAGTTCTCAAGCAAAGCCAGTCCAAACTGTTTACCCTAACTATCTAAAGAGTCTCCCAGATGGGAGACAGCCCCGGACTGTGAGTTATATAGGGAAAACCAATATAAAAAAGTCAACTTAAGAAAAGGACCTGCCGGGTGCAGTGGCTCACGCCTGTAATCCCAGCATTTTGGGAGGCTGAGATGGGCGGATCACGAGGTCAGACTGAGACCATCCTGGACAATACGGTGAAACCCCGTCTCTACTAAAAATACAAAAAAATTAGCCGGGAGTAGTAGCAGGTGCCTGTAGTCCCAGCTACTCGGGAGGCTGAGGCAGGAAAATGGTGTGAACCCAGGAGGCGGAGCTTGCAGTGAGCCGAGATCGCGTTACTGCACTCCAGCCTGGGCGACAGAGTGAGACTCTGTCTCCAAAAAAAAAAAAGGAAAAGAAAAGGAGCTGCCACTTACCCTCAACAGCCTATCTGTCATGCCAAATTTCCACTCCCTCACACCAGAGTCACAGGACATCCTGGACCATGACCATTCATACCAGTACCCTCCAACTCTCCCTGGAAACCAACAAGGACTGGAAATTGGGTGATGTGTGGTCTATTCTAAACGCTTCCACAAAAAGCTGCCCATCTTGGGGTAAGAGACACTAGGCACTAATTTGATCATTTATAAAATAAATTTGTAAGATTTCTAAGACTCATTCTTGGTCTACTATATAATTCTGTGCATAGGAACCATGCTGAATGTAGGAAAATTTGCTGTTGGTGGTAGTGGCATTGTTCTAATATTAGAGTTGGCTTCTGCCTCGCTCTGTGGCCTACGCAGATGCAGAGCAAAACATAACAGATTGGAAGATGAGGGGGGAAATGGAGGCAAGATGGTGACACTATTGTGGCCAAGTGACAAGTGCAAGGATGGTGAACAGGGCAGGCAAGTCTTCCCACAGTTGTTTTTTTGTTTGAAACAGGGTCTTGCTCTGTCACCCAGGCTGGACTATAGTGGCATGATGTTGGCTCACTATAACCTCCACCTCCTGGGCTCAAACGATCTTCCCACCTCAGCCTTCCAGGTAGCTGGGACTACAGACACAAGCCAGCACATCTGTTTTTTTTTTTTGTTTTTTTGTTTTTTGGTAGAGACGGGTTTTGCCATGTTGCCTAGGCTGGTCTCACTTGAGCTCAAGCAATCTGCCTGCCTTGGCCTCCCAAAGTGCTGGGATTACAGGCGTAAGCCACCATGCCCAGGCTTCTTCTCAGTTTTTCTGTGTCAGACATTTCTGGCTCTTGGTTAGACAATAGGAACCCAAATACCTGCCTCATTGTAAGTCCTTGGTCAAATCCTTCATTATCTCTGATCATTGTTTCTGAATCTATAAAATGGGACGTATTATCAGAATGCTTTGGTTGACATCAAAAACACGACAGAAAATAACGTATACAGCCACCTCAGGTTCATATCTATTTTAACTACTCCAGTGCAAAACAATCCTCTCTCCAGGAGAGACTCTTAGTAGTGCAAATGAACTCAGATGTTGCTATGGTTTGGATATGGTTTAGCCCTGCGAAGTCCCATGTTGTGATTTGATCCCCAGTGTTGGGGTTGGGGCCTGGTAGGTGGTGTTCTGGTCATGGGGTGGATCCCTCGTGAATGGCTTAGCACCATCCCCTTGGTGATGAGTGACTTCTTGCTCTTAATTCACTCAAGAGTTTAAAAGAGCATGGTGGCCGGGTGCGGTGGCTCACGCCTGTAATCCCAGCACTTTGGGAGGCCGAGGTGGGTGGATCATGAGGTCAGGAGATCGAGACCATCCTGGCTAACACGGTGAAACCGTCTCTACTAAAAATATAAAAAATTAGCCGGGCATGGTGGTGGGCACCTGTAGTCCCAGCTACTCGGGAGGCTGAGGCAGGAGAATTGCGTGAACCCGGGAGGAGGAACTTGCAGTGAGCCAAGATCGTGCCACTGCACTCCAGCCTGGGTGACAGAGTGAGACTATCTCAAAATAAATACAAATAAAAGATCATGGCATCTCTCTTGCTCCCTCTCTCACCATGTGACACGCTGGCTCTCCTTCTCTTCTGTCATAACTAAAAGCTTCCTAGGGCCTCACCAGAACCCAAGGAGATGCAAGTGTCATGCTTATACAGCCTATGGAACCATGAGCCAAACAAACTTTTCTTATAGATTACCAGGCCTCATGTATTCCTTTATAGAAACACAAATGGACTAAGATGCATGTCCATTCCTGAGACAATCAGTGTGGCTGGTGGGCATCCATCCACATTTATAGTCAGACAGGAGGGGACACCACTATTGATGTCCCCACTGGCACTACAGAGTAGAATGGCTTTCAAGAAAGGATGCTAGCGAATAAAAACATATGTATCTGCCAGGTGCAGTGGCTCACGCCTGTAACCCCAACACTTTGGGAGGCTGAGGTGGGCGGATCACAAGGTCAGGAGTTCGAGACCAGCGTGGCCAACATACTGAAACCCCATCTCCACTAATGATACAAAAAATTAGCCGGGCGTGGTGGCAGGCACCTGTAATCCCAGCTACAGAGGCAGAAGAATAGCTTGAACCCAGGAGGCAGAGGTTGCACTAAGCTGAGATCGCATCATTGCACACCAGCCAGGGCAACAGTGTGACTCAGTCTCAAAAAAAAAAAAAAAAAAAAAACATATGTACCATATAATCTATTTCCTCTACCTTTGAAACCTCACTGTATCTGCTGTCTATTGCTGCCTAACAAATTATCAGTGATTTAATGACTTAAATGAAGACTAACTGATCTCAGTTTGTGTCAGGAGTGTAGGTACAGGTTGAGTCCTCTACTCAGGGTGTCACTAGGCTGAAATATGGTGTGGCTGGGGCTGTGATTTCATCTGAAGCTCATGGTCCTCTTGCCATGGTCATTCAGGTTGTGAGCAGAATTCAGTTCCCTGGAGTTATAGAGATGAAGTCCCCACTTTCTTACTGGCTACTAGCCAGGGACCACTCTCAGTTCCAAGAACCACTCTCATGTTAACCATGAGCCCCTTCCATAGCAGTTCACAACACGGCTGTTTCTTTCTTCCAGGCCAGGCCCGTTGGAAGGTCTCTGTGATGCTTCACCATCTTGTAAAAGGTCCAGCTAATTAGGGCAGGCTCACCCAGAACAATCTCCCTTTCGATTAACTGAAAGTCAAGTATTCTGTAGCCCAATTACGGCAGTGATATCCCATCATAGTCACGAATCCTACCCACACTCCAGTGGAGGGAATTATATAAAGCATGTTCACCAGTGGGTGGGAATCTTGAGTGTCTTTTTAAAATTCTGACTTCCACAACCACTGATGGAAGTAACCGAAAAGAGGCGGCAAATCCTCAGAAGAGACAACAGTGGATGAGAGGTGTCAACATATCTGTATGCCTGCCAAAAATGAGTGCTGAGAACCACAGACAATCTCAGGGTGTAAAGAAGCAAGGTATTGCTGAAGGCAGGGCTGTAAAAGGGCTCAAAATTGGCATAATCATTGAAAATCTATTTAAAAGGCAATGAGACCCTCCCCGGGTCCCCTTGCTCACCCCTGGAAGGTAGGCAAGTCGTCTTCTCCTCACTGTCCCCAGAAATTTATTCTCTAAAGAAATCTGGCCAGGGGCAGTGGCTCACACCTGTAATCCCAGAACTTTGGGAGGCTGAGGCAGGCAGATCACGAGGTCAGGAGATCGAGACCATCCTGGTTAATATGGTGAAACCCCGTCTCTACTAAAAATACAAAAAATTAGCTGGGCGTGGTGGCATGTGCCTGTAGTCCCAGCTACTTGGGAGGCTGAGACAGAATTGCTTGAACCCGGGAGGTAGAGGTTGCAGTAAGCTGAGATCACGCCACTGCACTCTAGCCTAGGCAACAGAGCGAGACTGTCTCAAAAAAAAAAAAAAAATCTGACCAGAACTTCTCTAGGTAAGAACATTGGTACATTCCAAGGGAGATACTGTTAAGTGAATATCTACACGCAGCATCGTGAGACCCTGCATAAATCTCTTTCCTTGTCTTTCTGCCAGAAAGTTGGCAGTCAGGCTCCTATTCTTTAGGAAGAAAATTGGAGAGATCTTCTCTATAGAAAATAATCCCAGAAAATAAAATTTCTACAAGCTGACATTTGTGTGTCATTCTGGTGTGAAAACCCTTGGCACATGATCACCCTGTTCTGAGGGCCACAGGTTGAAAAGCAGCACACACACACACCCCACCACTTCCAATCAGCCCTTCACCGCTCTACCTGCCATCAAGTGAAAATGATGTAGTCAAGACTGGCCTTGAGCGGTCATAAAAGCAGCTATAATTTGCATGACTTCCACACCACCTACTCCTGCTGCATGGCTGCCTTTCCTCAACCGATACCTATGGCCTCCAGCGTTCCTAATAGGTAATGGACTGGGGAAAAATAATTCAAGTATAGTTTTATTTTCTCTGGGTTATTTTGTTTGTTCCCTTCCCCACTCTCTTCTATGACCACTCCTGAGTGGTACCCAAAATGTTGCAGCTATTCAGCTGGTGCCAGCAAATCAGCATATTGTATAAAGGAATTTGCAAACCATACTTGAATTATTTTTCCTCAATCCTTAGGAGGCCGAGGAGGGCGGATCACTTGAAGTCAGGAGTTCAAAACCAGCCTGGCTACGTGGTGAAACCATCTCTACTGAAAACACAAAAATTAGCCAGGCTTGATGGGGTGCACCTGTAGTCCCAGCTATTCTGAGGGAAGAGGATCGCTTGAGCCCAGAAGGTGGAGGCTTCAGTGAACTGAGACTGCGCCACTGCACTTCAGACTGGCTAACAGCACGAGACCCTGTCTCAAAAAATAAAGCTGTTATTTTCCTTCCTTTTGCCTTTTGAATTCTGCTCACCATAAAATTAAGCCAAATACTTTTTTGAGGGGGCAGCAAAAACTTGTCAGATTTACGAAATTCATTAACAGCAGCATTCTCAAAGGAAAGGTTTGGAGGCCTGCCATACCTTAGGCTTGATCAAAGCAGATGAAAACCTCAGCCCAGTAATGTTCTTAAATTCATAGCTCAATTGGATTATACATAAAGGTGTCATTCTTCGGAAAGGCTATTTTTCAAACCCTCTAATGAAAAAGCTAGGGAATATTGCTATCAATTCATCCTTTCCTCTTCAAGCAAAGAGCATTCCTCTGCTTTAAACAGATGGGGCTCTGTGTGACAAACAGCAGTGTTCCAGGGAGCAGCGATGGCACTGACATCTTGTACCCAGTGTTTATAAGCTGGGTTGTCCCTCTGTTTTCATTTCCTTTGACTAGACTAGAGCAGTGTTTAAGATTCAGACAATGGAACGGCAGGGTGAGTCCCAGTCATCCTCACATTCCAGCCATTCTTTATGATAATGAGCAGGGTGAGCGCCTTCGAGGAAGGATTCCAGAGAAGGTAGGAGGAGCGGAGGAGGAAAGAACAGCAAAACCTTTCTAGCCCAGCAATGTCTTCGTGCTCACTGTATTACTAGCTCAGGCACTGAAGCTGCAGTTAATTGCTATTCCCAGGGGATTCAGCTGGTTTTTTTGTTTTGTTTTGTTTTTTTGTTTTTTTTCCCTCCATTTACAGAGGCAGCTATAACAAAGACCATGTGAGTGCATGCGCACACACACACCACTGTTCCTGTGTTCCCAACTGATTGCTGACCGGCTTTCGTGAAGCCCTCACCTTCCCCATCATTATCACAAAAAATACCAGTTATCACCGAATGAAAATCATCTGTCTCTTAAGGAACAGACAGGGTGTTTGCTGTTCTAATGACTTCACCTGCACTGTATGGAGCTTGGAATATGATTAATGTTGCATCAGTGTCCCCTTTGGCAAGCTCTTGCAGACAAGGGCAAACTGCCACAGCTGTCTTCCAAAGATGGTCTCTACTAGATGACAGTAAGTGGGAAAAAGCAAATTCATTTTAGAGCAAAGGGAAAAGTTTACACTTCTAAACCTGCAATTTGTTCCTATGATGTTGAAAACTCTTCGTAGGTATTGTGGGTGGATTCGAAACCAATCACATTTGCATATTTCTGCATGTAAACATCTTTGAGTGCGTTTTTCCTTTCTGCCTGACACCTTATACAAAAAAATGCCACTTAATAATGACTATTTTCCAGATCCTTATTAAATGTACATGATCTTCAAGCACTCAGTCCTCAACAAACGTTTATTAAACTCCTATCACTTGTCAGCCAGGTTCTGAATGCTGGGCTTGGGGGACTCTTGCCCTCACGGAGCTTCCAGTCTGGTTACTTACCACGCCCAATTAGTACGGGATCCAAATTGCATGAGGTCTGGAGTTTATACACTCGGGGTGCTCATTAAGAAACTTAAGTTTACTGTGCCAAGTATTACTTAGCGTACAGAATTTGCAAAAAGCTATAAAAAAGGCACATCTAAATGAAGGACCTGAGGCTTAAGCTTCAAATGTTTCACAGTAATTCCTTTGATAGCAACGTAGGTAAGATTTTATCTCAGTTCTACAATTAAACACTGGGGCTGGGTGTGGTACCTTACGCCTGTAATCCCAGCACGTTGGGAGATGGAGACAGGTGGATTACTTGAGACCAGGTGTTTGACACCAGCCTGGGCAACACGGCAAAACCTCATCTCTACAAAAAATACAAAAAAAGTTAGCCAGCCAGGGTGGTGCACACCTGTAGTCCCAGTTACTCAGGAGGCTGGGATGCTAGGCTTATGAGTTCAGTAGGCGAAGATTGCAGTGAGTCATAATTATGCTATTCTACTCCAGCCTAGGCAAGAATAAGGGCCTGTCTCAAAAAGAAAAACTGATGTTGCCAAACGTGTGGTAGCACACACTTGCAGTCTCAGCCATTCAGGAAACTGAGAAATGACAGTGCGCTAACAACCCTCAGCCCTCTCACTCACTCACGGGGCCTTCTAGGCCTCGGCACCCACCCTGGCCCTCCTTGAGTCGCTTTTCAGCTCGCTGCTGCACGGTGGGAGCTCTTCTGGAATAACTGAGGCCCAAGCCGACTCCCTCAGCTTGCAGGCACGTATGGAGAGGCGCAGGCAAGAATCAGGCCTGCAGCAGCCCTTGCAAACCAGCTCGAGTTCCGGGTGTGCAGGCCTGGGCTCTGCCACCCCGCACTCCCGGAGAGTTAACAAACACTGCTGGCCCTCAACAGAAAATTTACACTCACACCAGTAGCTACAAAGGACGCAGAGTTCCCCAACGGCCACAATCAGGTTTTTGGTCTGACTTACAAAAATGAAACTGCAGACCCTCACAGTGAGCATTACAGTTGTAGAAAGTAGTGTCTCTGAAGTTTTTTCTTTCTGGCGGGTTTACTATCTTGCTGGCTCAGGAGAGAAATTACAGACCTTAGCAGTGAATATTACAGCTCTCAAACCAACACATCAGCACTTACTTATTTCTCTTGGCGGATTCACACTTTTATCACTAACTAAAAACATTAAAGCTACAGATCTTCGTGGCATTACAATCCATAAAACCACAGCAAACAAAACTCAAACATCCAAAGCACTTAATCCTACACATACCAAGATACTAAACGTTTTCATTATTTACTACTACTAGTTCTAGCAGCCTGCTTTTATTCTCTTACCTGGCCCCACCCACATCCTGCTGATTGGTCCATTTTACAGAGCGCCAATTGGTCTGTTTTACAGAGAGCTGATTGGTCCGTTTTGACAGGGTGCTGATTGGTGTGTTTACAATTCCTGAGCTAGACACAAAAGTTTTCCACATCCCCACTAGATTAGCTAGATACAGAGTGTCCATTGGTGTATTTACAAACCCTGAGCTAGACACAGGGTGCTGATTGGTGTGTTTACAAACCTTGCGCTAGACACAGAATGCTGATTGGTGTATTTACAATCCCTTAGCTAGACATAAAGGTTTTTTCTAAGCCCCCACTAGACTCAGTGAGCCCAGCTAGTCTCACCTAGTGGATCTCTTATCAGGGCTGCAGGTGGAGCTGCCTGTCAACCCCGCGCCGGACGCCTACACTTCTCAGTGTTTGGGCGTTTGATGGGACTGGGCGCCGTGAAGCATAGGGGCGGCGCCCGTCGGAGAAGCTTAGGCCGCGCAGGAGCCCACCGCCAGGGGTGGACTATATGGCGGGCTGCAGGTCCCGAGCACTGTCCTGCGGCGAGGCAGCTAACGCTTGGCAAAAAATCGAGCGCAGCACTAGTGGGCCAGCACTGCTGGGGGACCCGGCGCACACTCCGCAGCTGTTGGTCCGGGTGCTAAGCCCCTCTGCCCGGGGCCGGCAGAGCCGGCCAGGCCGCTCCAACTGCGGGGCCTGCCAAACCCACGCGGAACTCTAGTTGGCCCGCAAGCGCCGCGCGCAGCCCTGGTTCCCGCCCATGCGTCCCCCTCTACACCTCCTTTGAAGCCAAGGGAGCCGGCTCCCGCCTCGGCCAGCCCAGAGAAGGGCTTCTCCAGCGCTACCAGAATGGCGCTGAGGCAGAGGAGGCACGGAGAGCAAGGGCTGAGAAAGCTGCCAGCACGCTGTCACCGCTCAGCAGTGCCGGCCCGCCGGCGCTGCCTCGAATTTTGGCCGGGCCTCAACCGCCTCCCTGCGGGGCAGGGCTCGGGACCTGCAGCCTGCCATGTCCGAGCCTCCCCCCCGCCGCCGTGGGCTCCTGCGCCTTCGATCCTCCCCGACAATCGCCGCCCTCTGCTCCATAGCGCCCGGTCCTATCGACCGCCCAAGGGCTGAGGAGTGTGGGCACACTGCGCGGGACTGCCGGGCAGCTGCACCTGCGGCCCCGGTGCGGGATCCAGTAGTTGAAGCCAGCTGGGGTCCTGAGGCTGGTGGGGAGTTGGAGAATCTTTGTCTAGCTAAGGGATTGTAAATACACTAATTAGCATTCTGTATCTAGCTCAATGTTTGTAAACACACCAATCAGCACTCTGTATCTAGCTCAAGGTTTGTAAACACACCAATCGGCACCCTGTGTCTAGCTCAAGGTTTGTAAATGCACCAATCAGTGCTCTGTGGGGACTTGGAGAATTTTTGTGTCTAGCTCAGAGATTGTAAACACACTAATCAGCACCCTGTCAAAACGGGCTAATCAGCGCTCTGTAAAACAGACCAATCAGCTCTCTATAAAGTGGACCAATCAGCAGAATGTGGGTGGGGCCAGATAAGAGAATAAAAGCAGGCTGCCCAAACTAGCTGTGGTAACTTGTCGAGGTTTGTTCTCCCTTGTGGGTGTTTTTTAAATTTTTTTTTTTTTTTTGGTTCTTTATAGTAAGTCTTGCTGCTGTTCATTGTTTGGGTCAGCCTTGTGTGTATGGGTTGTAATACTCGCCGTGAAGGTCTGCATTTTCACTCCTGAGCTGGTGAAACTGGGAACCCACTAATAGAAAACAATTCTGAACACGTGATGAACATCAGAAAAAAATAAAGGAACGCCCAGACATACTGCTTTTAGTGAACCGTAACACTCACTGTGAGGGTCTGTGGCTTCATTCTTTAAGTCAGACCAAGAACCCACCAATTCTGGATGTAGAAGGATCTACTGGATTCCAGGAGTGCAAATCTAGTTTGAGCAATACAGCAAGGTTGTGTGTCTGAAATAAACGAATAAATAAATGGGTGTTTAAAAACCTGATGTTTTCTTAGCAAATGGCTGATTAGCGGCCAATAAGACTGAAGTAAGCATTCTTTTGTTTGTCAAACCAAAGAAGTGTAAATGATGACCAGAGGGCGTCCAGTTGGAAATAGCTTTTTCTCTAACCAGGAGACAGCTCAGATAATGTTGAAAAACAGCAGGCTGCTCAGATCTCTGTTTCCATCTAAACCAGGTGACAATTTGCCCCTCGAAGCATTTACTATAATTTTAGGCCTTGTTTTTCTTGGGGTTTAAGGTCATTGCAATTTGTATATTTCTGAGTTTCACTGTAGTTAGGTCGGGTTTAAAATTCCTATTTTGCTTTTTTTTTTTGGTGACTCACCAGCCAAATAAGGAGAGTGCATGGAGCAGGTTACCATTTCCCAAACTGTTCTGCATAGCATTAGTTCTAAAGGATGTGCACCACTGTTACACAAAGATATATGTGGACATACTGCATAGGAAATGTTGGATGAATGAAAGTTTAAACTTTCAGGCTTGGCGCCAAGGCTTACACCTGTAATCCCAACACTCTTGAGAGGCCCAGGCAGGCAGATCGCCTGAGGTCAGGAGTTCGAGACCAGCCTGGCTAACATGGTGAAACTGTCTCTACATAAAATACAAAAATTAGCCAGGCACGGTGGCAGGGGCCTCTAATCCCAACTACTAGGAAGGCTGAGGCATGAGAATTGCTTGAACCAGGGAGGCGGAAGGTGCAATGAGCAAAGATCATGCCACTGCACTCAAGCTTGGGTGACAGAGAATCTGTCTCAAAAAACAAAAGAAAAAAAAAACCAAAAAACTTTCTTGGCTGGGTGCAGCGGCTCATGCCTGTAATCCCAGCACTTTGGGAGGCCAAGGCGGGTGGATCACCTGAGGTCAGGAGCTGAAGATCAGCCTGACCAATATGATGAAATCCTGTCTCTACCAAAAATACAGAAATTAGCTGGGTGTGGTGGTGGGCGCCTGTAATTCCAGCCACTCAGGAGGCTGAGACAGGAGAATTGCTTGAACCTGGGAGGCGGAGGTTGTAGTGAGCCGAGATCCTGCCATTGCTCTCCAGCCTGGGCAACAAGAGCAAAACTCCGTCTCAAAAAAAAAACCAAAACTTTACTACTGGTCTGTTACAGGACACAATTTGCTAATGTGCATTGTTGCTCTTCAAGAGGAAAATATGGTATGCAGCTTTTCCCAAACGCATTCTATTTATTTAAAAATTATTTATGGAGGCGGGGTGCCATGGCTCACACCTGCAATCCCAGCACTTTGGGAGGCTGAGATGGGAGGATCGTTTGAAGCCAGGAGTTTGAGACCAGCCTGTGCAACATAGGGAGGCTAGGGGTTTAAGACCACCCTGGCAAACATGGTGAAATTCCGTCGCTACTAAAACTACACAAAATTAGCCAGATGTGGTGGCACACGTCTGTAATCCCAGCTACTTGGGAGGCTGAGGCAGGAGAATTGCTTGAACCTGGGAGGCAGAAGTTGCAGTGAGCCGAGATCGTGCCATTACACTCCAGTCTGGACAAGAGCGAAACTCCGTCTCAATAAATAAATAAATAAATAAATAAAGGTAGAGCTGCACATTATTTCAGCTGACATACCAAACTCAGATGGTCTATGAACGGATAGGAGCCTTTGAGCCAAGCCTAATAAAAGTTAGTGAGGTAGATTCAGCCTCTCCCTAAAAAAATTATAGAGATTGTACAATTTTCTCCTCCCTAAATTCTTGTTCAGATCAACTCCACCCATATGTTGCTCACATACATCCTCCTCTGTTCAGTGAAAGAAGCAGAAATATTTAATGATGAGAGATGAAATGTCTATAGCTGACACATAAGGATCCAAATACTCAGTGTTAATCACAGCTGTTAAGTAAAGCATTTAAAAATTCTTTTTTACACAGACACCTAATCAACAATGAAATGGACATGACTGTTCTAGCCCCAAAGACATTCAGAGGAAAGACTCACCTGAAGAAGTCATCTCAGAGACATTCCAAAACTTTTATACATCGTACACGCCACGACGTGAAAGAATTTGGTCAGACTGGAAGTCAACAGCTCTCTTGAGAAGCATCACGTGCTTGAAAGCTAATAACATTATCCAGAAACTCTGAGAAAGGGTTAATAACTGAGCTTTGACACTCAGATAACACTGGTTTCTCCAGAATATCAGAAGCCCTAAGATGCAGAGAGGAAGAATGTTTACCCTTAAATCATAGCTTTGGAAACACTGAACTTCTTGAGTAAAGGCAGGAAGGGTGCATATTTAACTAAATTCAAGGGTGTGTCTGCTCATCATTCAGCAGGGTGATGCATTAATCCTGCTTCACCTACAAACAAAAGTGTGATCTCAGCCTCCAGGAACAGTTCTGTTCTTTGGGTACACCCTCTATGAAACTCAGATTGAAATTACCTCTTTGTGTTATTCATCAGGCACCAATTGTTCTTAAGATGAATATTCCATTCATTCCTGGTATGTGACCACTGAAGTCTCAGAGTCCTAACTTACTGCCATACAGATGTAATGATCTGTGACTGCATCTCTATGGGTAAGAGGCAGGGTACTATACTGAATTGAGCAAAAGAGCTATTCCTAACACACAGTTGGAAAGTAAAGCAAAGATCCAACATACAACTGCTTGTGATGGGTGTGTAGGAAACTACCAAACAATACATTTAATGGCTGTAAGAATGGGAAGCTCGCATTAATTCAGCTCCTCCAAGAATCAGATGTCAAATCAGGGTTATGTGCAGGAACTTTATTAGGGGAAGTGCCTGTGTGAGAAAAAATGGGAGAAAGCTGGGTAAGACTGGGAGAAACATCAAACCACCATGCAAACCGGACCCTAAGTGAAGGAGGAGAGGAAGCTGGGCAGAAGTGTCCTCAACTACTCTGCAGTCAAAAGAAGGCTCAACAAGGCCACTAGGTAGTCCTGAAGCCCAAGGCAGCTATGACAGGCATTCCCTGTCTTCCAGACCTGCCTTAACATCCCTGCTGTCCTCAGTCACGGGCTGGGAGTAGCAACTTTTGAGAGGCCTCACCTCAGCACAAACACTTCAGTAAATTTTAGAGCACAGCCTGCTCCTCGGTCAATTACATGCCCCAAAGTTGGCGGTCCACAAGGCATAGTCCTGGAGCTCTCTCAAAGCTGCCTACAAATCAAAATGCCTCTAGTATCGAGAAGAGGGTGGTTTGAGGTTAGGATATCAATTAAATGTATGTAGGTTGTTGATTGAAACAAAACAAAACCAGAACCATGCTTTGGGAGAAGGTAAGAAGGTGAACAGAGAAATGGTAGGATCTGTTTGTTACCCTAACCATAAGCGCAGTTCACCAACATACTAATTTGACCCATAAAAACAATCAAAACTGACACTCGGGGGGCTAGGTGCTGTGGCTCATGCCTGCAATCCCAGCACTTTGGGAGGCAAAGGTGGGTGGATCACCCGAGGTCTGGAGTTTGAGACCAGCCTGGCCAAAATGGCAAAACCCCATCTCTACTAAAAAAAATACAAAAATTAGCCAGCACGGTGGTACGTGCCTGTAATCACAGCTACTTGGGAGGCTGAGGCACGAGAATCTTTTGAACCCAGGAGGTGGAGGTGGCAGTGAGCCGAGATTGCGCCACTGCACTTCAGCCTGGGCAACTGAGTGAGACTCCATCTCAAAAAATAAAACAAAAAACAAAACAAAGCAAAAAAACCTGACACTCAACACTATTTCACTCTGAAATCAAGATTCATTGACCAATACTGACAATAGTTATGGTTTGGAGATCAGCCTCAACATATGAAGAAGACTGGATTTTAGCAGATGTGGGATTTTTAAATATTTCCCCCAGAGAACAATTCATCCATTGCATATATTGCTCTGAATGGAGTTTGAATAGATTTGTGCCAGAGTCTTGGATATATGCCTTTTTTTTTTTTTTAATAATACCAGACTAATAAAATACAGGCCAAAGTATCTGGCTGAGGCAGATTAGGAGAATCACCTAAAACCTAGAGAAAAAGACCCAAGTCCAAATGGAAATTTACTACCTGATAAAGGTGGCATTCCTAATTAGTAGGAAAAAGACTGTTTAATAAATTGTGTTGGGACAATTGGTAGCCATCTAGAAAACAATGTTGGATTCTTACCTCATATACTAGAATAAATTCAGAAAGGATTAAGGGTTTAAATGTTAAAATAAAATAAAAGTGCTAATGGGAGAATTTCAAAATCCTTTCTGCATGGTAACGGACTTTCAAAATGTTAAACACACTTTGGGAGGCGAAGATGGGCAGATCATTTGAGCTCAGGAGTTTGAGACCAGTCTGGGCAACATGGCAAAACCCCGTCTCTAACAAAAAATACAAAAATTAGCCAGGCATGGTGATGGTGCACGCCAGTAATCTCAGCAACTTGACTGAGGCGGGAGGATGGATTGAGCCTGAGAGTTCAATGGAGTGAACCATGATTGCACCACTCAACGCCAGCCTGGGCAATAGAATGAGACACTGTCGTTCACTTTGGCATTGTTTGTAATAGTAAAATATTGTTAACAATCTAAATGTACATTCAATAAGGAACTAATTAAATAAATCCTAAAATATTATGCAGCCTGGCTGGGCATGGTGGCTCACACCTGTAATCCCAGCACTTGGGGAGGCCAAGACCAGTGGATTGTTTAAGCCCAGGAATTTGAGACCACCCTGGGCAGCATAGTGAGACCCCCATCTCTACTAAAAATACAAAAAATTAGCCAGGTGTGGTAGCACACTCCTGTAGTACCAGCTACTCTGGAGGCTGAGGTAGGAGAATCCGCTGAGCCTGGAAAGTCGAGGCTGCAGTGATCACGCCATTGTACTCCAGCATGGGTGACGGGAGTGAGACCTTGTCTAAAAAAACAAAAACTTACGCAGCTGTAAACAAAGAATAAAGAAGCTCTTCATGTACTAATACAAAACAATCTTTAAGGTTGAATGCAGTGGCTCACGCCTGTAATCCGAAGGCTATGAGTGGACAAGACAGGAGGATCCCTTAAGGTCAGAAGTTTGAGACCAGTCTGGGCAACATAGCATGATCCCATCTTTACAAAAAATTTAAGAATTAGCCAGTTGTGGTGGCATACACCTGTAGTCCTAGCTACTTATGAAGCTGAGGCAGAAGGATTGCTTGAGCCCAGGAGTTTGAGGCTGCAGTGAGCTATGATCGTGCCACTGCACTCCTGCCTGGGTGACAGAACAAGACTCTGTCTCTTTAAAAACAAACAAACAAACAAAAACTTTAAGATATCTTATTAAGTGACGAAGCAAGGTGAAGAACAGTACAAGTAATATGCTAAAATTTAGGTTAAAATAGTGTAAAGGGGGATATAAAGGTACAAATTTGTTTATATATGTAGAGAATATCTCTCAAAGGGAACATAAGAAACGCAGTATTTCTTGTCCACATTTTTCATTGAATATCACTTCTTCCTTTTGAATTTTGAATCATGTGAATTCAAAAAATAAAAATCTAAAAAGAGTTGACGAGTCTTTCTGACTTGGTGCATGCTACTGCTAACCTGAATAAGAAAAAAGTGGATAGTGCCCACCTAGGGAATATTTACTCAACATAAATTATCTTGGGTTGGCTTCCCAGCTACTGACACAGACACTCTTCCCTCACAAAGTCTAAATATTTAAAATTTATAAATAAAGAAAACTGTCAGCTATGTTGTATCTATCATCCTTGACAAACATACCTTCATAGTGATTTGCAATGCTCATTTATTTTTTACTTATTATTATTATTTTTGAGACAGAGTCTTGCTCTGCCACCCAGGCTGGAGTGCAATGGTGTGATCTTGGCTCACTGCAACCTGCACCTCCCAGGTTCAAGCAATTCTCCTGCTTCAGTCTCCTGAGTAGCTGGGATTACAGGCATCTGCCACCATGCCCAGCTAATTTGTGTATTTTTAGTAGAAACAGAGTTTCGCCATGTTGGCCTGGCTGGTCTCGAACTCCTGACCTCAGGTGATCCACCCGCCTCGGCCTCCCAAAGTGCTGGGATTACAGGCGTCAGCCACCGCGCCCAGCTTTATTTTATTTTTTTAAAGACAGGGTCTTGTTCCGTTGCCCAGGCAGGACTCCAATGGCATGATCATAGTTCACCACAGCCTCAAACTCTTGGACTAAAGCAGCCCCGCAACCTCAGCCTCCAGAGTAGTTGGGACCACAGGTGTGCACAACCACGTCTGTTAATTAAAAAAAAGTATTTTAGGTCGGGCGCGGTGGTTTATGCCTATAATCTCAGCACTTCGGAAGGCCGATGCGGGCAGGTCACCTGAGGTCAGGAGTTGGAGACCAGCCTGGCAAATATGGTGAAACCCCGGCTCTACTAAAAGTACAAAAATTAGCCGGGTGTGGTGTCATGCACCTGTAATCTAGCTACTGGGGAGGCTGAGGCAGGAGAATCGCTTGAACCCAGGAGGTGGAGGTTGCAGTGAGCTGAGATTGCGCCACTGCACCCCGGCCTGGGTGACAGAGTGAAACTCCATCTCAAAAATAAATACATAAATAAAATTTTTAAAGTAGAGAAGGTCAGTGGGGAGTGGGGGGAGCTGGGGAGGTCTGTTTCCCAGTCTAATCTCAAACTCCTGGCCTCAAGCATTCCTCCCACCTCAGCCTTCCAAAGTGCTGGAATTACAGGCTTTTTATTTTTACTTTTTGGAGACAGTCTTGCTCTGTCATTCAGGCTAGAGTGCAATGGCGCAACCTCGGCTCACTGCAACCTCCGCCTCCCGGGTTCAAGCGATTCTCCCACCTTAGCCTCCCGAGTAGCTGGGACAACAGGCATGTGGCACCACCCCCGGTTAATTTTTGTATTTTTGGTAGAGACGGGTTTTCGCCATATTGGCTAGGCTGGTCTCAAACTCCTGGCCTCAGGTGATCTACCCGCCTCCACCTCCCAAAGTGCTGTGATTACAGCCATGAGCAACTGCTTCCTGGCCAGGAGTTTTAATTTTAAAAGTAAACATAAATTAGCTGCACGTGGTGGTAGGATTGAGAGGAGACAGCATGCTGGCAACCCTCACAGCTCTCGCTCGTTCTGGGCGCCTCCTCAGCCTTAGCACCCACTCTGGCCGCGTTTGAGGAGCTTTTCAGCCCGCCGCTGCACTGTGGGAGCCCCTTTCTGGACTGGTCAAAGCTGGAGCCAGCTCCCTCAGCTTGCAGGGAAGTGTGGAGGGAGAGGCGCGGTCGGGAACCGGGACTGCGCGCCGCGCTAGCCAGCCCAAGTTCTGGGTGGCCGTGAGCTCAGCGAGCCCCGCACTCGGAGCGGCCGGCCGACTCGCAAGGTCCGGGCAGTGAGGAACTTAGCACCTGGGCCAGCAGCTGCTGTGCTCAATTTCTCGCCGCGCCTTAGCTACCTCCCCGCGGGGTAGGGCTCAGGACCTGCAGCCTGTCATGCCTTGAACCTCCCCCAACTCTGTGGGCTCCTGTGCCGCCGGAGCCTCCCCAACGGGCGCCGCTCTCTTCTCCACAGCACCCAGTCCCATCAACCACTTAAGGGCTGAGAAGTGCGGATACAGAGCACGAGACTAGCAAGCAGCTCTACCTGTGGCCGCCATACCGGATCCATTCGGTGAAGCTAACTAGGCTTCTAAGTCTGGTGGGGACTTGGAGAATCTTTATGTCTAGCTAAGGGATTGTAAATACACCAATCGGCACGCTATCTAGGTCAAGGTTTGTAAACACACCAATCAGCACCCTGTGTCTAGCTCAGGGTTTGTGAATGCACCAATCGACACTCTGTATTTAGCTACTCTGATGGGGACTTGGAGAACTTTTATATCTAGCTAAGGGATTGTAAATACACCAATCGGCACTCTGTATCTAGCTCAAGGTTTGTAAACACACCAATCAGCACCCTGTGTCTAGCTCAGGGTTTGTGAATGCACCAATGGACACTGTGTCTAGCTAATCTAGTGGAGACATGGAGAACTTTTGTGTCTAGCTCAGGGATTGTAAATGCACCAATCAGCATCCTGTCAAATCGGACCAATCAGCTCTCTGTAAAATGGGCCAATTGGCTCTCTGTAAATGGACCAATCAGTGCGATGTGGGTGGGGCCAGATAAGAGAATAAATGCAGGCTGCCCAAGCTAGTACTGGTAACTTGTTAAAAATTTGTTTTCATAGTATAGGTGCATTGTTGTTTTACCTTTGATTTATTGTGCTGTGTTTGTGAGTTATAAGACTTGCCGAAAAGGTCTGCTGTTTCAGTTTTTCAGCCAGTAAGACCACGAACTTGGTGGAAATAACACAGAACTTCAGTCACGCTGCTTTAAGAGTTAATGACATTCACTGTGAAGGTTTGCAGTCTCACTTCTGAGCCAATAAGATCACGAACCCACCAGCAGAAAGCGTCGACTCACAGCACATCAGAAAAGAGCAGACTCTGGATTTGCTGTTTTTAAGAACTAATACTTAACTAGGAAAGTCTGGTTTTTTTTTTTTTTTTTTTTTTTTTTTTTTTTTGAGAGGGAGTCTTGCTTTGTCGCCCAGGCCAGACTGCGGATTGCAGTGGCGCAATCTCGGCTCACTGCAAGCTCCGCTTCCCAGGTTCACGCCATTCTCCTGCCTCAGCCTCCCGAGTAGCTGGGACTACAAGCGCCCGCCACCGCGCCCGCCTAATTTTTTGTATTTTTAGTAGAGGCAGGGTTTCACCTTGTTAGCCAGGATGGTCTCGATCTCCTGACTTCATGATCCACCCGCCTCGGCCTCCCAAAGTGCTCGGATTACAGGCGTGAGCCACCGCGCCCGGCCCATTCTTGAAGTTAGTGTGAAGCAAGAACCTACTCAATATTGGACGCAGTAGGTATCTACAGTCCAAGATACTTGCGAGCCTGAGGTCGTGGGGGGATTGCTTGAACCTAAGAATTTACCAAAGGATTACTTTAGCTCAGGAGTTAAGTGTTCTAATAAGTTTACACCACTGCGTTCAAATCTGGGTGCCTATAAGATCCTATCTCAAGAAAAGGAAACCAGAAAGATCAGTCCAGATTCTGGAGGTAGTGTTGAGCCTGTTTCGGAATTTGAGTATCGAGTATTTAAACAGTCATGCAGAGGGCTGTGGAGTTTTTAATGTGTCAAGGTGGCTAGGACTGATTTCCCAGAACTCCTTTTCTAAATCTTCCTGTGAGAGATTTGGCAGCAGAAAGGAAGCAGTAGCTGTTTTTTCATTTGTTTTTTGAGAGTGGCTCTGACACCGGGTTGGAGTGCAGTGGTGTGATCTCGACTCACTGCAATCTCTGCCTCCTGGGTTCAGGGGATTCTCCTGCCTCAGGCTCTTGAGTAAGTGGGATTACTGGTATGCGCCACCGAGCCTGGCTAATTTTGTATTTTTAGTAGAAATGGGGTTTCTCCATGTTAGGCTGGTCTTGAACTCCCAACCTGAGATGGTTTTCCCACCTCGGCCTCCGAAAGTGGTGGGATTACAGGTGTGAGCCACTACGCCCGGTGATAGCAGTTTTTAAAGTCACATGTATGGTTGCTAGTCTGCGGGCTGTCATGGCCAGGAGGCAGCAGCCTGCAACTGCTCCCCTTTCAGCTTCTTTGCCTCCTAGGCCAGGTGTGTGTTTAGCTCTGGGCAAGAGGCCCTGACTTCCGCAGGATACCCACACCAGTAAGGTCAGAGTTAAGAAAAATGGACATGGATTTTAGTTTCTCATGGGGCTCCAACTCATGCCAGTGGGTCCCAGCCGGCTCTTGCTCCCCAACACTACACATCCATCTTTCCCAGCTCTTCACTCCCTGGGCGTCAAGTTCTAGCATCACACACAAAGACAAGTCTTACAGAGCCTGCTTAATCACTTCCACAACTGTGGGAGGTCAAATCCCTGCAAAAAATCTGTGTCTGTCTCTTTCACACACAGACACACACACAGGCATATACAGAGTATAGCAAAAATCTCCCCTGGCTTTAACTGTCCCTGAGGTTCCCTGTCTACCCACCTTTGTAAAACGTCCCCAAACTTTCCTCAAGTTATCCTGACTTTAGGGGATCCTTGGTTTCATCTTTGAGATCCCCTGACTGATTAGAAAATTAGAGCAAAACCCACTCTATTCTATTCAGAATCCTCACCGTCTTCCAATGATCAAGTCTTTATGTCTGGTCTCTTCTATCCTTAGAGTGAGTTCTGGCCCAGGAGGCTCTTGAGCTTCACTTTCAAATACATGTTTTTAAGACTGGTTCTAATAGACCGTCAGAAAACATTTTAGATGTGCCTGTACTCCAATGGTGGCCAGAGTAATGCTGTGACTAAACTCAAATCTGCACTATAGTTAAATCTATGCAAAGTGCCTGCTGTTGAAGTCGGTCATGAGAAAGCATTCTTCTGTTAGCATCCTCAGAGACAACATGACCTGAGACACATCGAAACCCAAATAGTAACACACAGCTCTGTATGGGATCCTGTCATTACTATGACAGCCACAAATGAAGCAATCTCGATCCTGATTTGTAGGAATCATGCAATTCCTACAATTTATAGGAATTATTCCTTCATATAAATAATTTGTAAATTTAACTCATTTTTTAATCAACTAGTATTCAGATTATAGTTCATTTAAATGGATAAGATCAATTTTTATTACAATTTTTAAAAAACTAAAACTTTTTCAAAATCTAAAAGTACATTTTGAGATTAAGTGCATTTTAAATCTAAAAGTACATTTTGAGATTAAGAATAAATGTAAGTAAAACATTTTGTGTTTTAACTTGATTTCTTTATCATGCTCATGCTCATGTTAAATACCAACATTGTGTCTGATTATGAATTATTGTCAACATTCATTGAAAAAATTTGCTTTTCACTAGGCTTACAAACAATCTACTTCAGCTTCATTGAGTATTATTTTCACTTGCAACATGCATCTGTTTCTTTTGTGAGAAATTACTTATTGGTATACAGCATTAGAGTTTCTCTTCAAAAAATTTTAAATTTGTCCAGACTGGAGTGTAGTGGTATGATCACGCTCACTGCAGCCTCAACCTCCTGGGCTCAAGCAATCCTCCAACTTCAGCCTCCTGAGTAGCTGGAAATATAGGCATGCACCACCACACCTGGCTAATGTTTTAATTTTTTTGTAGAGACAAGGTGTCTCTGTGTTGCCCAGGATGGTCTCAAACTCCTGGGCTTGAGCACTCCCCCCGGCTTTGGCCTCCCAAAGTGCTGGGATTACAGGTGTGAGCCACCATGCCCAGCCTTAAAATTTGTATTTGTACTTATTTTTATTTTATTTTATTTTTTGAGACAGAGTCTTGCTCTGTCACCCAGGCTGGAGTGCCCTGGCACGATCTCGGCTCACTGCAAGCTCTGCTTCCCGGGTTCACGCCATTCCCCTGCTTCAGCCTCCCAGGTAGCTGGGACTACAGGCGCCCGCCACTAGCCTGGCTAATTTTTTGTATTTTTAGTAGAGATGGGTTTTCACCATGTTAACCAGGATGGTCTCGATCTCCTGACCTCGTGATCCACCTGCCTCAGCCTCCTAAAGTGCTGGGATTACAGGCGTGAGCCACCGCGCCAAGCCTATTTTTATTTTTTTAGAACTATATGATAAAATATTTTTAAACATTTATAAATCAAAACAATATTATAGGGCCGGGTGTGGTGGCTCGCGTCTGTAATCCCAGCACTTTGGGAGGCCGAGGCAGGCGGATCACTTGAGGTCAAGAGTTTGAGACCAGCCTGGCCAACATGGTGAAACCCTGTCTCTACTAAAAATGCAAAAAATTAGCCAGGCATGGTGCTGCATGCCTGTAATCCCAGCTATTCCGGAGGCTGAGGCAGGAGAATCACTTGATCCCGGGAGGCGGAGGTTGCAGTGAGCCGAGGTCATGCCACTGCACTCCAGTCTGGGCAGCAGAGGAAAACTCTGTCTCAAAAAAAAAAAAAAGAAAAAATTATAATAAACTCCAAAATAACAATCACTTACATTAATAATTGACATTTAGCTGCTTTTACATAATTACATAATTTTACAACATTATGTAAAATGCTTTTACATAATTACAGGGCGCCTGTAATTCCAGCTAACTGGGAGGCTGAGGCAGTACAATCACTTGAACCCGGGAGGCAGAGGTTGCAGTGAGCTGAGATCGTGCCACTGCACTCCAGCCTGGGTGACAGAGTGAAACTGTGTCTCAATCTGTCAAACTGTGTCATAATCTTTTTTTTTTTTTTTTTTTTTTGAAACAGAGTTTCACTCTTTCGCCCAGGTTGGAGTGAAGTGGCTCGATCTCCGCTCACTGCAACCTCCACCCCCCGGGTTCAGGTGATTCTCCTGCCTCAGCCTCCTGAGCAGCTGGGATTGCAGGCGCCACCACCACGCCTGGCTAATTTTTGTACTTTTAGTAGAGACAGGGTTTCACCATGTTGGCCAGCCTGGTCTCAAACTCCTGACCTCAGGTGATCCGCCTGCCTCGGTAAGCCACCATGCCCAGCAAGTTTTTATTAAAAGCTCTTCCAGGGCCAGGCATGGTGGCCCATGCCTGTAATCCCAGTACTTTGGGAGGCCCAGGCAGGAGGATCCCTTGAGCTCAGAAGTTCGAGACCAGCCCAGGCAAGATAGTGAGACCTTGTCTCTATTAAAAATATATATATATTTAAATATTAAAATAACATCTTTAAAAAGCTCTTACAGGAAAATTTGCTGTCATTGCACGGACTGTGGAGGATAAACACACACACACACACACACACACACACACACACACACACACACACAGCTAAGGCTTTTTTTTTTTTTTTTTTTGAGACGGAGTCTTGCTCTGTCGCCCAGGCTGGAGTGCAGTGGTGCGATCTCGGCTCACTGCAACCTCCGCCTCCCGGGTTCACACCATTCTCCTGCCTAGCTAAGGCTTTTTTAAGGTCACTTAAGTGGCTGAACTTTTTTTTAGGTTTTTTTGAGAAAGCATTCACGTAACAACCAAGGTTCTCAATAGCCTTATAAGCGCTGCCTTACAATCTATTTTTGGAAACACATCTGTTTGCTGCCATTACAGAACATTCCTCCCTTTACAAAAATGTAGGATTTCCTTGTTCAAAACGGAACAGTCATTTTTAGAGGCATATTTCTTCCACTCGTCTCAGAATTTTGCCAAGGTCTTCAAGAAATGCTTTTTAAAATTATAAAGTGATACCTGCAGTGCTACCTGGAAAGCAGAGCCAGTGAGCAGGGAAATTAACTGTCCATCAGCAAGCGCTTCATGTGGAAACTGGAACTCCTCCTAGCTCACATGAAGGCGCTTTCCCTGGAGAAAGATTTTGCAGGTTATTGTTTTCCTTTCATCTTGAAGACTTTCTGGAAGACAACTATACTCCGTGCAGGCAAAGATCTGCAGAAGTGTTTAATGAGGGCCTAGGAGGTTAGGAATCATAGTTCAAAAGAGCGGACTCACATCCTGAACCTTGAATCATGAATTTTGAATCCTGAATCCTGAAGCAAAGAAGGCCTTTTCATTTTCAGGAATTAATGCATTAATTAGTCACAGCTGCCTTAAATTCCAAACAAGATTAGTTTGTTATTTTCCCTAGTTATCTGTCCTCATATTAACATGACTAAAAGAAAAACATTTTTTTTTCACCCAGGCGCAGTGGCTCACACTGCTCCCAACACTTTGGGAGGCTGAGGTGGGGGGGATCACTTAAGGTCAGGAGTTTGAGACCAGCCTGGCCAACATGGCAAAACCCCATCTCTAATTCAACTACAAAAATTAGCTGGGCATGGTGGTGGGCGCCTGTAATTCCAGCTAACTGGGAGGCTGAGGCAGGACAATCACTTGAACCCGGGAGGCAGAGGTTGCAGTGAGCTGAGATTGTGCCACTGCACTCCAGCGTGGGTGACAGAGTGAAACTGTGTCTCAAAAAAGAAAAAGAAAAGAAGACCATTTTTTAAAAACCCAAATGTATCAGTATTCCTTTACTGACAAGAGCATTGCCCCGCCCGCACATCCCCAGTGAGGCTGGAGGGAGCCAGGAGTCGGGGGTGAGCAGGGTGCACTGATATCTTCAATGGCATGGAGCAAAGACACACTAGAGTATGACAGATTGGGAATTAAAGGAAGAACCCACTGGGTCCTTTCTCCACCAGGTTCCACAAGAGAATTAAGCCCTGATGCCCCATGGCATCCACTGTTCTAATGAATTAACTTCTCTACTGTGCATTCAGAGTGGTGCTCATTATGTACCAACCTTAGAAAAAATGAAAAGATTCACTCACATCATTTTCAGTGTTCTGGAATTTAGAAAAGGAGCCTGAGCTGCGCAAGTCTTCAGAGCATCACGTTGGAAGCGGTGGGTAGAAAGCCTGGCAGAGACTCAGAAGCAAAATGTTGAGAGCTGATGTTGAGTCAGATTGCTTCAGTTCTCTAGGTCTGCAACCTCTTGGGAAAGGAGTCTTTAAAAAAAACACCTCGACATCCATGAGCCCATTGCCCACAACCCCTCCATCTCGGTCACCCTGACCTCTGGCTCTGAGCCCTATTCTGACCAAATCAAGCCCAGCTATTTTTTTTTTTTTTTTTTTTTTTTTTTGTAGAGACGAGGTTTCGGTGTGTTGCCCAAGCTGGTCTCAAACTCCTGAGCTCAAGCCATCTGCCCACTGAAGCCTCCCAAAGTGTGGGGATTACAGGCCTGAGCCACCTTCCCCGGCCACCATGATGAATATTTGGGGGTGGATGGGGAGGGAGGGGAGTGAGAGGGGATAGAACCAACTTTTTCTGTGTTTTTTTTTGTTTTTGTTTTTGTTTGTTTTTTTTGAGATGGAGTCTCACTCTGTAGTGGCACGATATTGGCTCACTGCAACCTCCACCTCACAGGTTCAAGCCATTCTCCTGCCTCAGCCTCCTGAGTAGCTAGGACTATAGGTGTGTGTCACCACACCCTGCTAATTTTTATATTTTTATTTTTTTTATTCTATTTTTTTGAGACGGAGTTTCGCTCTCGTCACCTAGGTTGGAGTGCAGTGGCACGATCTCGGCTCACTGCAACCCCCACCTCCCGGGTTCAAGCAATTCTTCTGCCTCAGCCTCCCAAGCAGCTGGGATTAGAGGTGCCCACCACCACACCCAGCTAATTTTTGTATTTTTAGTAGAGACGGGGTCTCACCGTGTTGGCCAGGCTGGCCTCAAACTCCAGACCTCAGGTGATCCACCCTCCTTGGCCTCCCAAAGTGCTGGGATTATAGGCGTGAGCCACTGGGCCCAGCCTCTATTTTTAATAGAGACGGGGTTTCACCATGTTAGCCAGGCTGGGCTCAAACTGGTGACCTCAGGTGATCCGCCCACCTGGGCCTCCCAAAGTGCTGGGATTATAGGTGTGAGCCACTGGGCCCAGCCTCTATTTTTAGTAGGGACGGGGTTTCACCGTGTTAGCCAGGCTGTTCTCAAACTGGTGACCTCAGTGGATGCACCCACCTGGGCCTCCCAAAGTGCTGGGATTACAGGCATAAGTCACTGCGCCTGGCCTGTATTTTGTATTGTATGTTTTCTTCAATGTGGAACCAATCAGTATCTTGTCAATATAGTCAGCTGATTGACTGACAAAAAAAGAAAGTAAAAGAAAAAAGAAAAAAACTTGTGACCATGGCAGGGAGCTGGTGAAGCCTGTTTGGATACTCTCCTTCAAAGCAGCCATCTTGGGAGGCAACTCACATAGCAGTGATGGCATCTCCGCACTGGGTAGTGGGGGCTCTTCTTTCAGATCACCTTCACCGCCCTGAGAGCAGGGCAGTCTGGTTTGTTTTCACGCACACCTTGATTTTGGACCAACCCATATTTCCCAGCTGATTCACTCATGTTACTGCCAGACTTAACTGCAAATGACTTTAAATTACTTATGCAGGCCAGGCCTGGTGGCTTATGCCTATAATTCCAGCACTTTGGGAGGCTGAGGCAGGTGGATCACTTGAGGCCAGGAGTTCGAGACCAGCCTGGTCAACATGGTGAAACCTTGTCTCTACTAACAGTACAAAAATTAGCCAGGCATGGTGGTGCACCCTGTAATCCCAGCTGAGGCTGAGGCAGGAGAACCTCTTGAACCTGGGAAGCGGAGGTTGCAGTGAGCCAAGATCGAACCACTGCACTCCAGCCTGGGTGACAGAGTGACAAAGCGAGACTCTCACTCAAAAAAAAAAAAAAAAAAATCACTTATGCTATGAAGCCAGTCTTTCTTGATTTGTTACTGACCAACTATGTGACCTTAGTGATGTCTTAGATTTATCTGTCTAAGGCAACACGATTGGATTAAATAATCTCTAAGTTTCCCTCCAGCTTGAAAATACCAGGATTAGGTGATGGATGAAGACCTGCCAGTGCTGAGAATGCTTACCAGAATGTGTCACAGGCTCTGAAGGAAAAAAAATTGGGAACATCACAGTAATCCGTGCATATACTTTGCTGCTGAGTATTTTGATAAGAACAGAGACCCAATTATTCAATTAATTCATTCCGTGAAACTTCCATTGAGATGGTACTAGGTGTCAAGTTCTGTGCCATGGATTGGAGATATTCAGATGAGCAGAGGAAGTTTCCTACCATCTTCAACAACAGTAATAATAAAATGAGTACTTTTTACTTGGTTCCTTCCATGTGCCTGCCACTTTACACACTTGAATTCTTTTTCTCCCAGCTTTACTGAGGTATAATTCACAAATTAAAATTCAAGGTGTATCGTACACATTGTGTAATGATTACCATAAACAGATTAATTAACACATCCATTACCACACATAATTACCATTGTGTGTGAGTGTATGTGTGTGTGGTGAGTACACTTTAAGATCTGCTCTCTTAGAAAATTTCAGGTAAACACTACAGCATTATTAACCACAGCAACCATGCTATTCATCGGACCCTCAGAACTTATTCATCTTTATAAATGGAGTTTGTACCCTTTGACCGAATATGGAAACCTAAATGTCCATCGATGGATGAATGGATCCATCTATTTCCTCTATCCCCAGACCCTTAGCAACCACCATTTGACTCTGCTTTTATTAGTTTAACTTTTTAATTTTTTAATTTTTATTTATGTATTTTTTGAGACAGGGTCTGGCTCTGTTGCCCAGGATGGAGTGCAGTGACTTAATCATGGCTCACTGAAAGCTCCACCTCCTGGGCTCAAGTCATCCTCCCACCTCAGCCTCCCAAGTAGCTAGGACTACAGGCACATGCCACCACACCCGGCTAGTTTTTGTATTTTTTTTCTATTTTTGGGGGTTTCACCCTGTTGCCCAGGCTAGTCTCGAACTTCTGAGCTCAAGTGATCCACTCACCTTGGCCTCCCAAATTGCTGAGATTATAGGCATAAGCTACCATGCCTGACAGAGTTCAACTTTTTTAGATTCCACATATAAGACAATATTTCTTTCTGTGTCTAGCTTATTTCACTTAGCACATAACGTCCTCCAGGTTCATCCATGTTGTCACAAATGGCAGGATTTTCTTCTTTGTTATGGCTGAATGTGATTCAACTGTGTGTGTGTGTGTGTGTGTGTGTGTGTGTGTGTGTATCTATTCAGCCATCAATGGACACTTACATTTCCACATTTTGGTTACTGTGAACAACGCCGTAATGAACATGGGAGTGCAGATATCTCTTCAACATACTGATTTTATTTTATTTTATTTTATTTTATTTTATTTTATTTTAATTTTTTTGAGACAGAGTCTAGCTCTGTCACCCAGGCTGGAATGCAGTGGTGCGATCTCGGCTCACTCTCACTGCAGCCTCTGCCTCCTGGGTTCAAGCGATTCTCATGCCTCAGCCTCCAGAATAGCTGGGATTATAGGTGTGCGCCACCACACCCGGCTAATGTTTGTATTTTTTGTAGAGACAGGGTTTCGCCATGTTGCCCAGGCTGGTCTCAAACTCCTGGCCTCAAGTGATCTGCCCAAAGTGACCTCCCAAAGTGCTGGGATTACAGGGAGGAGACACTGTGCCTGACCAACATACTGATTTTATTTTCTTTGGATATATACCCAAAAGTGAGATTGCTGGATCATATGGTAGTTCCACTGTTAATTTTCTGAGAAGCCTTCCTACTACTGTTTTCCATAATGGCTATGCCAATCTACCTTCCCACCAACAGTATACAAGGGTTTCCTTTTCTTTACATCCTCACCAACACTTATATCTTTTCTTTTTGATAACAACTGTCCTAACAAGTGTGAGGTGATATGTCACTGTGGCTGTGATTTGCATTTCCCTGATGATTAGTAATGTTGAACACCTTTTCATTTTCATACACCTAGTCCTCTGTATGTCTTTTTTGGGAAAGTGTCTATTCATATTCAGGTCCTTTGCCCTCGCCTTTTTTTTTTAGATGGGGTCTCTGTCACACAGCAAGCTGGAGCACAGTAGTGTGATCATTAACTCACTGCAGCCTCAAATTCCTGGGCTTAAGGGATCCTCCTGCCTCAGCCCTCCCAAGTAGCTGGGACTACAAGTGCATATCACCGTGCCTGGCTAATCTTTGTCCATTTTTAATCAGGTTATTTTGTTCTATGCTATTGAATTGTGTCATTGGCTAATTCCTTAAGAAACAGTCCAATGGGGGAACAAACAAACTAATGGATTAAAACACACTGTGATAATGAAAGCTAACATTAATGCTTACTGTGTGAAGGCACAATGCTAGTCACTCTACATGGTGTGATGGTGATCATTAATTTTATGTGTCAACTTGACTGTGTCATGAGGTGCCAAATATTTGGTTAAACATGATTTCTGAGTGTGTCTGTGAGCGTGTGTTTGGATGAGATTAGCATTTGGTAGACTGAGTAACACAGATGGACCTCACCAAAGTGTGTGGGCACTACCCAATCTGTTCAGGGTCTCAATAGAACAAAAAAAGGCAGAGGAAGGCTGAATCCACTCTCTGCCTGGCTGCTTGAGCTGAGACATCAGTCTTCTCCTGCCCTCGGACTGGGACTCACGTCATTAGTGCTACTGGTTCTCAGAACTTCAGACTTGGTCTGTAATTAAACCACCAGCTTTCCAGGTTCTCCAGCTTGCAGATGGCAGATAGTGGCATTTCTCAGCCTCCATATTTGTGTGAACCAATTCCTTATAATAAATCTCTTTATATCCTATTGTTTTTGTTTCTCGGGAAAATGCTGACTAGGAGATTATCTCATTTCATAAATGAGATAATAGTAATAAAACTGCAAAGGAGTCGTATTATTAGTGACATTTTGTGGATGAGGAATCTGAGGTATAGAGAACGTGTGTAACTTGCCCAGTGTCGTGCACAGAGCAGGTACGTAAGGTTAAAAGTGGTTGCTCCAGACCAGGCACGGTGGCTCATGCCTGTAATCTCAACCCTTAGGGAGGACTGCTTGAAGCTAGAACTTAAGAGACCCTCCTGGGCAACATAGCAAGAGTTCATTTCTTTTTTTTTTTTTTTTTTTTTTTTGAGACGGAGTCTCGCTCTGTCGCCCAGGCTGGAGTGCAGTGGCAGGATCTCGGCTCACTGCAAGCTCCGCTTCCCGGGTTCACGCCATTCTCCTGCCTCAGCCTCCCGAGTAGCTGGGACTACAGGCGCCCGCCACTACGCCCGGCTAATTTTTTGTATTTTTAGTAGAGACGGGGTTTCACCGTTTTAGCCGGGATGGTCTTGATCTCCTGACCTCGTGATCCGCCCGCCTCGGCCTCCCAAAGTGCTGGGATTACAGGCGTGAGCCACCGCGCCCGGCCTGCAAGAGTTCAGTTCTAAAATAAATAAATAAAGTTAAATAAACTTTTTTAAAAAGTGCTTGCTCCGGAGGGCTAGGACAGGAGGGAGAAAAGGATGGGCAGTGGCTGATAATTTTACAAATCTTTCTACACTATTTGATATTTGAACTGTGTGAGGGTGTTATGGTATATGTTATTCACAAGTCTAGAAGCAGACAAGAGTCCCTGAAGAAGGAAGAGACAGGGCAGCAGGGTGTCCAAAGTGGCCTGGGAACAGCATCAAAGACAGGCTTTTCCAGCCCAAGACTTTCCCTGGGGTCATTTGTCCTTTCCTTCCATTTCATTCAGGTGCTGCAACCTTCTACGGTCTGGGGACAGGACATTTTGTTTATGACTCATAGGTGACAAGATAGTTCAAAAGAATCTCCATTCCTTGCCCCCATGTTTTCCACATCATGCCTTTATGTGTCATTGACTGTGCTTACTCTACACAGTCTCAGAGTTGTGTAAACCAGTTTGGTGGGAAGTGGCAATTCCCATCCTGAGAGAGACTTCACATTGGAGAGGACATTTGAGCTGGATCCAAAAAGTTCACAGGGTAGTTTGCCAAGCAGGGAAAGAGAATGCCTTAATCAGGAATCACTGGGTTGCAAGAAATGGAGATGAATTCAAACTAGCCAAAGAGAAAAGAAGGCAGGAAAAGAAGACAGTAACTTGAATTCCCAACTTTCCAGACCCAGGCTACAGCCCTGCAGCAACCAACACTGACAAAGTGTTCTGAAGGTGTGGAACAGCAGCCTAGTCTTTGCCTTCTCCACACTGGACCCACAAGCTCCTGCTTCCTCTTTTGGCCACTTCCTATGGTTGATTAGACATGGTTCTCCTCTGGAGGGAAACAGAAGGTAGGATCATAGGAGCAGGAGTCTGAATGATCTCATGCTTGGAGGTCGTGTGGAGATGCAGTCCGTATCTATTTTTTTGCCAAATGAAAGAAAATATCCTTTCTGAATGAACCACAGCAGCGGAGAAAGTGTGGTGGGTCTGAGGAAGTTAACTATCAACTCCCACCACACACAGGACCTGAAAATACCAAATTCCCTCCTTCTTTTCTCAGTGTCCCACCACCCGTGACTCTCTCCCTCCTCTCCCTCCTCCACTCTGCTGATCACTGTCTCTCCCCTGTATGCTCATCCCATGTGCTCAGTTGACCCAGCATTTTCTTCAGTCTGTCAACACTTTTTTTTTTTTTTTTGAGACAGAGTCTTGCTCTGTCACCCAGGTTGGAGTGTGATGGCTTGAGCTCAGCTCACTGCAACCTCTGCCCTCTGGGTTCAAGCAATTCTCTTGCCTCAGCCTCCGAGTAGCTGGGATTACTAGAGCCCACCACCATGCCTGGCTAATTATTTGTATTTTTAGTAGAGACGGGGTTTCACCATGTTGGCCAGGCTGGTCTCGAACACCTGACCTCAGGTGATCCATCCACCTCTGCCTCCCAAAGTGCTGGGATTGCAGGTGTGAGCCACTGCACCTGGCCAGACTGTCAAAACTTTTGATTCTTCTGTTTCTTCCCTCTTTATCAGGAACCCCTCCTGCACCCCCAACAAGTTCTGACTTTAATGGAACCTGTGTTCACTTAGAAGACAAGACAATGATAGCTAACCTCTGCTTGGTTGGCTATCATTGGGACATGGAACAAGGACATAAGCAAAGGGGTCTGAGGTGGTAATTTTTCATTATGTGTACAGAGAAAGACAACAAAACTCGTGTAGAGAGAGAGAAGAAGAAGAAATTAAACACAGAGAATGGGATGAAAGACCACAGAGCTGAAAAAAAAAGAAGGTAGTAACTTAAATTCCCAACTTTCTAGACCCTGGCTACAGCCCTTCATGAGATGTGGTAACTTCTCAAGGATGTGTTCTTCCAATGTACTTCTCTTTTCGCTTCAGCTAGTTTGAGTTCGTCTGTGTCTTCCAACTCAGTGATACGTGATTAAGGCATTCTCTTTCTCTGCTTGGCAAACTACCCGCTGAACCTTTAAGATCCAGCTCGAATGACCTCTCCAATGTGAAGTCTCCCTCAAGATGGGAATTGTCACTTCCCACCAACCTGGTTCACACAACTGCCAGAGTGTGTCCCACTTTAGATTGCATCTGGCTGTCCTCCCTTGCCTGGAAACCCCTTGAGGGCGGAGAAAGTGCTGTTTCTGAATTCCCAGCAACTCTCACAGTACCTCAGATGCTGCCACTCAGTACACATTTGATAAATGAATGGATTCACTGGCAGATGGATACAAGGAGCTTTTCTACTTTCTACCCATGTTGTCTGTAGAATAAAAGCTAAAGTTGACTTGGTCCCCTGCACTCCTTAGGAGCAGCTGAGTTCTTACAATTTCCAATCTGAAGTCTTCACATATGGATAAATCCCTCAGGAAAGGCCTATGTTTCGTTTTGGCCTTCTTCTTTCTTCTCACTTTGTTTTAGTTTTGGCTAGTTCCAAATGATTCCAAGGTTATACAACAGCCAGGGACAATCCCTCTCTCATCACAATGTGGGCTGGAGCCTAGTCAAGCTATTCCTAAATGCCAGTCCAGGCATGGGCTACTTCAGAATCAGGCCAGCCCAGACCTCCTAAACCTCTGCCTGAGGGAAGATTCTGGAATCTGTGCTTTAGCTGGTTCCAAAGGATGGTCAGCCAGGTGTGGGATCCTGGGGAGGTTATCGTGCTTATGAGGCTGGCTTATGGGTCTGTGCATTGTTAGAGACCACAGACCCTATTCTGATCAGTTGCTTGTCTTGCTCAGAAGAGGGCAAGGGAAGAGGGCTCTGCCAACCTGGGGCACAGATGGATATCTCCATCAAGAGATGTGTCCTGAACCTTCTCTTCCTCACTATTGTCCCTGCTGTTCCCCCGCTTCTGACCCTCCTCACTGCTAGCTTGGACAGTCCATTCCCAAATAATTTTCAGTGTCTGATTTCTCTGGGTTCAACTCTTTTGTATCCAATACTTGATTAGATTCCTAAAGCACAGCATTTCATTGTTTTCCTGCCCACGTGCTTAGTTCCTGCTAGTCTCTGCTCTTCCACAGCTATTCATATTGAAATTCTATTGCCTGTAATCCCAGCACTTTGGGAGGCCAACGCTGGCAGATCACTTGAGGTTGGGAGTTCGAGAATAGCCTGGCCAACATGGTGAAACCCTGTCTCTACTAAAAATACAAAAATTAGCCAGGCGTGGTGGTGTGCGCCTGTAGTCCCAGCTACTTGGGAGGCTGAGGCAGAAGAATCGCTTGAACTCGGGAGGTGGAGGTTGCAGTGACACAAGATCACACCACTACACTCCAGCCTCGGTGACAGAGTGAGACTCCATCTAAAAAAAAAAAGAAAAAAAAGAAAAAAATTCTATCCTTTCCTCTATAACAAGTGCTACAACGGTAAGAATAACAACTACCACTTGTTGAATGTCTGTTACCTATGTGCCAGCCACCACACCAGGCATTCTACATACATTATCTCATTTAACCCTCACAAGAACCCTGTAAAATGGGCATTATTATACCCACCTGACATACAAGAGACCCAAGGCTTGCATGTCCAAGGTAAACACAGAAAGTAACTAACAGAGGCTGAGCTGAGTGCCATGGCTCATGTCTGTAATCCCAGCACTTTGGAAGGGTGAGGTGGGTGGATGACTTGAGTTCAGGAGTTCAAGACCAGCCAACATGGCAAAACTCTGTCTCTACAAAAAAATACAAAAATTAGCTGTGTGTACTGGCATGCACCTGTAGTCTCAGGTACTCGGGAGGCTGAAGTGGGAGGATCACTTGAGCCTGGGAGGTCGAGGTTGCGGTGAGCTGAGATTGTGCCACGGTATTCCAGCCTAGGCAACAGAGTAAGACCCTTCAAAAAAAAAAAGAGTTACAGAGGCTGGAAAACAAACCACAGTGGGTCTGACATCAAAGTCTGCTTTTCCTACTCTGCTACTCTGAGCCCAATTTCCTTTACCCCTTACTTTTTTTTTTTTTTTTTTGGAGACGGAGTCTTGCTCTGTCACCCAGGCTTGAATGCAGCGGTATGATCTCAGCTCACTGAAACCTCTGCCTCCTGGGTTCAAGCAATTCTCCTGCCTCAGCCTCCTGAGTAGCTGAGACTACAGGTGTGTACCACCACGCCCAGCTAATTTTTGTATTTTTAGTAGAGACAGAGTTTCACCATGTTGGCCAGGCTGGTCTTGAACTCCTGACCTCAGGTGATCCACCCGCCTCAAACTCCCAACGTGCTGGGATTATAGGCATGAGCCACTGTGTGTGGCCTACCCCTTACTTCTGTCAAAAGGATTATCATCTTTTCTATCTCCCATAAATTTTGTAACTCTTTTGTGGAGACTACATATTGCATTGAACTGTAAAGCATAATATTTAGTGTTGTTTATATTGCTTATATTTTTTGTGCCAGAAAAATAGAGACGAGTCAAGGCAAATCCATTATCACCCTTAGAAAAACCACTCACGTGCACATTCCAATTATGTAGGTCGGCAGCTTTATTTCGGAAAACACATCTGAAGCAGTCACAGTGTGGAAGTGAGAGCTGTGGTTTTTGAAGACCTGCATTTAAATCCCAAGGCCATCACTTCCCAGGTATGTGACCTTGGGCAAGCTGCTTAAATTGTCTCTTTACTTTTTACCGGTTAGTTATAATGAAGGATGACAATAATAGTTTGTGCCTCATAGGGTTATTGAGAGGATTAAATAATGAAACTATGCTTGGTAAGTAGTCAGTGTTTAATAAATGTTATCTACTGTTAACTGTTGTGAAATATAAATGTTCTTGTAATAAATGGTTTGGAGTCCCTCCCTGGGGGAGAATTCTTTTTCCCTTTTCCATTGATGCTTGGCTTGACCGTGTGACTTCCTTTGTCCAATGAAAATTGAGAAGGGATGGGTACCATTCCTTTCTTTTTCTTTTTTCTTTTTCTCTTTTTTTTGAGACAGAGTCCTGCTCTGTTGTCCAAGCTGGAATGCAGTGGCATGGGCTTGGCTTGCTGCAACACCCACCTCCTGGGTTCAAGCGATTGTCCTGCCTCAGCCTCCCAAATACTGGGATTACAGGCGCTGCCACCACGCTTGGCTAATTTTTTGTATTTTTAGTAGAGACGAGGTTTCTCCATGTTAGCCAGGTTGGTCTAAACTCCTGACCTCGTGATCTGTCCGCCTCGGCCTCCCAAAGTGCTGGGATTACAGGCGTGAGCCACCGTGCCCAGCCAATGTGTACCATTTCTGAGCAAAACTTGAGGAGCTATTGTGTGGTCTGCCACCTTCTCCTTTCCTTCTGTTACAAAACCAGCGTTGACTCAGCTAGGGGCTGTTTCGTCAGCCTAGGACTCAGAAAGAAAATGATAGAAGCAAAACCACAAGCAGGCTGTGATGGACAAGTCATGCGTGTAGGGCATAAAGCTTTTTGTAAGCCACTGAGATTCAAGCGTTGTTGGTCACCATGTCATAACTTAGCCTAGGCTGACTCATGGTTGTTAAACTAGTTTATAGAAAGCCTCTTATTTAAAAGTATTTGACTGTTCTATGATTATTCTTTGATTCTCTGCAGACTTAAGACATTAGCAATTTTTAGATCAGCCTGGCAGCCTGATCTGCTACTTCTGACTGAAATAACTTTGGAACTTAGTCTTACATCTGAAATGGGATGATTCCAGAGTCCTTGGGATGTTTGTTATCTATCAGTTGTCTGCCAGTTCCTCAGAACCCATGGTGTTTCCAGTTTCTAAAGTAAAGCTATGCTAACAAGCTCTTCCTGACAAAGGAGCATAGACCAGGGCCCTCTTAGTGACTAGTACGCATGGCTGTATTCGTTGGCATATGGTGATCTGTGGGCATTGTAAGGCTGGCTGATGGCTGGGCCAGAGTGTTCTGTCAAGCAAGCCTCACCGGTCTTTCCATACCTCAGCCCCAGTCCAGGGCCTCTAGCCAGGCTGGGCCAGCTCTCTGATGGGCCTTTACCTGTATGCAGTGGGCCCACACTCTGAGCTTCTTCTCCTCGCTGACTCCAGAATGGGATACTGTCCAGCATCCCAAACTCTCCTGTTGTCATGATAGAAAAGTCCTTGCATCCCTCCTGAGTAGCTGGGACTACAGGCACACACCACCAGATTGTTGTTGTTTTAAGACACTAAATTTTGGTGGGATTTACTACAACAGTAACCAGAACAGCATGTTCTAGGGGAATGGAAGTCTTCAGAAGGACATGAAAGCCAGCCTCAAGTATCTGAGGGGCTTCAGGTATAGCAGGAGTTAGATTTGGAGGCTGGGCATGGTGGCTCATGCCTGTAATCCCAGCGCTTTGGGAGGCTGAGGCAGGTAGATCACTTGAGGTCAGGAGTCTGAGACCAGCGTGGCCAACATGGCGAAACCCCTTCTCTACTAAAAATACAAAAAATTAACCATGTGTGGTGGTGTGTGCCTGTAATCCCAGCTACTCGGGAGGCTGAGGCAGGAGAATCACTTGAACCTGGGAGGCGGAGGTTGCAGTGAGCCGAGGTTGCGCCACTGCACTCCAGCCTGGGTGATACAGCCAAGACCCCATCTCAAAAAAAAAAAAAAAAAAAAAAAAAAAGGGAGTTAGATTTGGCATGGGAAGCAGGAGAAGGCAGCACTTCTGTCACTAGGTGGAATGCCCAGGGATGCAAATCTGATTCTTCATGGAGGCCTTTCCTAGGCGAAGAACTTGAGGAGTCCCCTGACTGAGTTCAGCTTCTCTTCCAATTTGAGAACTCTGTCAGCGGAATCCAAGCACGGAATGGGTGGCCGTTTTGGGGGCTGTTGTAAAAAGGTCCACAGGACTCCCAAAGGCCCTTCAAACGCTAAAAAGACATAATTCCTAATGATGTAAGGCTAAACTGTTTTGAAAAAGAAATGTTTAGTAAACTTTTATTTATTTATTTATTTATTTATTTTTGAGACAGAGTCTTACTCTGTCACCCAGGCTGGAGTACAGTGGCATGATCTTGACTCACTGCAACCTCTTTTCTCCCCGGTTCAAACAATTCTTATGCCTCAGCTTCCCAAGTAGCTGGGATTACAGGCATGTGCCACCATGCCCAGATAATTTTTTTGTATTTTTAGTAGAGACAGAGATTCACTGGGTTGGCCAGGCTGGTCTTGAACTCCTGGACTCAAGTGATCCGCCCACCTCAGTCTCCCAAAATGCTGGGATTATAGGTATGAGCCACCATGCCCAGACTAGTAAACTCTTCATAGAAGAGGTGAGGACTAATCTGGTCTTTAAAGTTGGAAAGGGTCAGGAAAGCAGAAAGAAGAGTCACTCTGCAAAGAACCAATGGGAACTGTTTTTCTAACCTGTAACACCAAATGAATCATGCCCCTCTCACCTTAAGACCTATTCTTCTTCTCAACTATTCGTGGTGTTATGGGCCATCATCCTCCCAATCCCTTTCTCAGTCACTTGCAATCCTTTGCCTCCCTCAATCTTCACATCCCATTGGTTGCTAAATTGTTCCACTTTTCTCGCAGTAAGTTCTGCGTCTGTTCCTTCTGCTCCATTTGTGCTATCATTGGCTTTGTTCATGCTATCATCACCTCTGGATGATGATATCATCACCTCATCTGGATGACTACAATAGTCCTCTGGATGGATACAGTGTTGCCAAATTAATTACCCTGAATCAATGCTCTGAATATGTCAATCCCTGGCTCCAAATCCAAATGCTTCATTCAGTTCCTATTGCCTTTACAATAAACATGAAATTTCTTAGGCACTCAAGGCTTTCATGATCTGGCAGAGAATGAGGGAGAAGGAGAAAATGAGACAGAGAAGGGATTGATTAAATTTTGTATATCCTCCCTTCCTTTCTTCCTTCCTTCCTTTTCTTTCATCCTTCCTCTCTTTCTTTATTTTTTTGAGACTGAGTCTCACCCTGTTGCCCAGGCTGGAGTGCAGTGGTACAATCATGGCTCACTGCAGCCTTGACCTAGGCTTTCTAGCAATCCCCCCTGCTTCAGCCTCCCAAGTAGCTGGGATCACAGGCACACGCCATCACGCCTGGCTAATTTTTTATTTTTTGTAGAGACAGAGTCTCCCTATGTTGCCCAGGCTGGTCTCAAACTCCTGGGCTCAAGTGATCCTCCCACCTTTGCCTCCCAAAGTGCTGAGATTTCAGGCATAAGCCACTGCGCCTGGCCTCTGTATTAGTTTCTTAAGACTACTGTAACAAATGACCATGAAATGGGTGGCATAAGACAACAGAAATTTAGTGTCTCAGAGTTCTGGTGGCTAGAAGTCCCAAATCAAGGTGTCAGCAGAGCCGTGTTTCCTCCGGAGGCTTCCTTTCCTCCTCCTAGCTTCTGGTGGCTCCTGGCAAACCTCGGTGTTCCTTGGCTTGTGGCTGCATCACTCCAATCTCTGCCTCTGTCTTCACATGGTCTTCCTCCCTGTGTATCCAAATCCCCCTCTCCTTTCTCTAATAAAGACACTAGTCAGGCCAGGTGCGGTGGCTCACACCTGTAATCCCAACACTTTGGGAGGCCGAGGTGGGCAGATCACCTGAGGTCAGAAGTTCGAGAGCAGCCTGGGCAACACAGCAAAACCCCATCTCTACTAAAAATACAAACATTAGCTGGGCATGACGGCACATGCCTGTAGTCCCAGCTACTTGGGAGGCTGAGGCAGGAGAATCGCTTGAACCTGGAAGTGGAGGTTGCAGTAAGTTGAGATCGTGCCACTGCACTCCAGCCTGGGCAACAGAGCGAGACTCTGTCTCAAAAAAAAAAAAAAAAAAAAAGACACTAGTCATTAGATTTAGGGACCATCCTAACCCAGTATGGCCTCATCCTAATTTTATTTCTGCCAAGACCCTGTTTCCAAATAAGGTCACATTCACAGGTACTGGAGGTTATGGCTTGTACATACCTTTTTGGGAGTTACAAATTCAACCCTCTACAATTCCCACTGATAGAAACTACCAGAGCAATGGCTTAGCATAGGGATGGTATCTTGCTTGTGAAAAGGTCCTGGATAAAGAATTTCAGGAATGGTGGGAGGTAATATTAAACAGAGAGGTTTTTTGTTTGTTTGCTTGTTTTTGAGGTGGAGTTTGGCTCTTGTTGCCCAGGCTGTAGTGCAACGGTGCGATCTTGGCTCACCGCAACCTCCGCCTCCCAGGTTCAAGCGATTCTCCTGCCTCAGCCTCCCAAGTAGCTGGGATTACAGGCATGTGCCATCACGCCTGGCTAATTTTGTATTTTTAGTGGAGACGGGGTTTCTCCATGTTGGTCAGGCTGGTCTCGGACTCCCGACCTCAGGTGATCTGCCAGCCTCGGCCTCCCAAAGTGCTGGGATTACAGGCGTGAGCCACCGTGCCCAGCCTGAGAGTTTTTTGAACAATAGAATACCATGCACGATTAAAGGATAAAATTTTAATTTTGTGAAAAATCAGTCTGGAAGCTGGATTTAGGAGTGATTAGAGGAGGCAAAGCTAGGAGGGTTAACAGGATGTCTCAGCAGCCCAAAAGTGAAGAGGTAAGCACAGACCTAGATTCTTAGCCTCAGAGGGCTGGAAATTTCACCTCTTTCTGAGCAGCAGCTGAGAGCCTGTAGCCTAAAGCCTACAACAGTGTTTGTAACATAGTAGGGCGCTCAGAACACATTTGTTGAACAAGTGAATGGACAGGTAAAGTGAGATTGCAGCAGCAGGAATGGAGAGGAGGAAAGATGCAACAGGCCCTTCAGAGGTAGACTGAGATAGCTGGCTCTACAATAAGGTGGGGCTGAAGTATTTGTCCTTCAGTGTACACAGGGGACTGGTTCCAGGAACATCCAAAACCATGCATACTCAAGTCCCACAGTCAGCTCTGCAGAACCCACAAATAGGAAAAGTTGGATCTCTCAGTTTTGAACCTGCCAAATACTGTCTTTTCTTTTTTCTCCCTTTTTTTTTTTGAGACAGGGTCTTGCTTTGTTGCCTAGGCTGGAGTGCAGTGGTGCGAACATGGCTCACTGCAGCCTCAACCTTCCAGGCTCAAGTGATCCTCCCACCTCAGCCTCTCCAGTAACTAAGACTACAGGCACCTGCCACCATGCCCGGCTATTTTTTAAATTTTTATGTTTGGCAAGATGGGGTTTCTTTACATTGCCCAGGCTGGTCTCGAACTCCTGGCCTCAAGTGATCCTCCCGCCTCGGCCTCCCAAAGTGTTGGGATTACAGGCGTAAGGCACTGTGCCAGAGCACGAATACTGTATTTTCAATCAGATTTTGGTTGAAAAAAAGCCACGTGTAAGTGGACTCGTGCAGTTCAAACCCGTGTTGTTCGAGGGTCAAGCGTAGCATCACCTCGGTTGGAGGCGGACGGACCCCTCTCCTAGCACCTGCCGTACACTGTCTAGCATAATAAGTCTCCACGCCCTCTCTTCCACCTTAGCGTGTGCCTCTGCATCATGCTATTCATGTTTCTGTGTGTCCTCAACAGCACCCTGCACACAGTAAAACCTCAATGCATCTTCCAATAAGTGGATTTCTAGATTTAAGCAAAATCGAAAGATTCCTGGATCTAAACTCTGGATTTTTGACTTCTGTACGCTTCAAAATGCCTGGCACTCGGTGAGCGCCCCTTAAGCACTTGTTGAACCAAACAGAATAAATCGGATTCGCCCAGTTCCGCCCTGGCAGCGAGGTCTGCATTTGGCAGGATGACAGAATCCATTGCTATTAAATTCTTATGTAAGAGTTAATGGCCCTCCCAGCCCACTTGACATCCCTCCCGAGACAAGAGAGGCCGGGAAAGGAAGGGAGAGCACTATTTACAAACATACACTGTTTCGGTGGTGGATTCACAGATTCATTTCTAGTCTCGGTTCACCACAGAGATCTTAAAATACCGCTGCAGGCTCCGTGTGGGACAGAGGGGGCGGCGTGCCGGGACTCGGAGGGGAAGGCCTGCGCACCCAGCGCGGCGAGCCGTGGTCCTTGCTGCCGTCCCGGGGCTCCGGGTGGCAGCGGCCCCAGAAGGCGGCTCGAGCTCACGGCGGTGTCCGGGGGGGGGCCCCGCGGGCGCCGGTGCAGGCTTGGCCTGGGAGGTCCCCTGGGGAAACAATGCGTCCCGCCCCGGACTCCAGCCTCCCCTAAGCGCCGCGCTGCTCGCCGCTCCTCTCACTGCCGTCCCGCCGCTCCAGGGGGCGCCGCGCGTGGCCGTGTCCGGCCTCTCCCGAGCCCCGGCGGGTGACGGGCGCGGAACATGGCGGCGCGGGGCCCCGGGCAGCCGCGAGGGGCCGCGGCGCTGCGGTCTCGGCTGGGGCGGCGCGGCTAGAGCTGCGCCTGGGCCCGCCGGCGAGGCCTCCTCCCCGCCCGCCGCCGCCGCCGCCGCCGCCGCGCCCCGCCCCGCGCGCCCGCCCCTCCCCGGGCCGCGGCCGTGCCCCGCGTCGCGCTCCCCCGGGATGGCCCGCGCGCCTCGGCGCTGCCTCTCGGAGCTCACGGCGGAGCGGCGGCGGCCGCGCTCGAGGGGCGCGCGGCTGCAGCGGCGGCGGCGCCGCGCGTGAGGGGCCGCCTAAGGCCGAGCGGGCGCGGCGAGCGGCCGGGCGAGCGCAGCCAACATGTCGGATACCAAGGTAAAAGTTGCCGTCCGGGTCCGGCCCATGAACCGACGAGGTGAGGAGCTTTCCGCTCTTTTTTATTTCTGCTCGGGCTGAGGGCGGGGGCAACTTTAGAAACTGCGGGGCCGGGACGGCGAGAGCGCGGCCGGGGCCGGGGGGCCGGGGCGGAGGCGGCGTCCGCGCTGGCCGTGGTGCCCGGGGCGCCGTCTCCAGGCTCGGCCGCCTCCAGGGACGGAGCCCCGCTCGGCGCGGCTGGCGGGCGGGCGGGCTGGAGGCGCGGATGCTGGACTTTGCAACGTCCCTTTCTCTCTGCTTTCAGAACTGGAACTGAACACCAAGTGCGTGGTGGAGATGGAAGGGAATCAAACGGTCCTGCACCCTCCTCCTTCTAACACCAAACAGGGAGAAAGGTAAAGCGGGTTCCGAGAGGGCGGCTGGGAGGATCCAGCCTCGCGGGGTCCCGCAAGTTTGAGCCAGGAAAATGGGAGTGCTCTTTCCTATTGTTAGGAGGACGGCTTCAAGTTTGTCGCCGGCTCCTGTTTGAAGCTGTTGCAAGTCCAAGTTCCTCTCCTCCCTCGCCCCCCTTCTCCTCCATCTAGAGCGGCGGCAGGCAGGGCACCCTGGCCACAGCACCAGTCAGCTGAGCCCGGGCGGGCTGCGAGGCACCCGGGAGGGAGAGGGCCGGATGGGACCCCATAGGTGATTCGTCCAGCGGCCACATTTTACAGACAGGAAAACTGAGGCCCGAGGCGGGCAGGTGACCAGCCCACGACCTTATTGTTCGTGGAACCCAGTGTCCGTGATTCTTTTCATCACTGCAGGGTTTGTTTCCTTTGGCAGAATTGTTTAGGGACAGTGTGTCTAAAATGGGAGGAAAAAATAAAGCAAAAGTCTTGTACGATGTAGACTCAGGCTGGACTAGTTAGTATCTATTTTAGTTGTTGTTGCTGAGTTGAGATAATGCCTCAATGTAATGCGCGAATTTTGATTTTCAAAGAAACAAAAGTAGGGCCCTGAACTGTATAGACACTGAGGGATGTTTAAAAAGGGGCTGTATTTACTAGATGGCAACATATTTGCATTTGAAAAGTGGTAACTGTTGGATCCTTATTAATTCCGTTCTGTTCCATGCAACAGTATGGGTTAACGCCCCAAAATAATTTGAATATTTGGCATTTTTCTAGTAAGCCTCTGAGAAGAAATCGGTTGGAATTCATTCAATATAATAATGCAGTAGCTTGTAAATATATATATGTGAAAAAACGGGAGAGTTTACAATATTAATTTTCATTGGAAATGAATATGAGTTTGTGTTTCCACGAATCACCTGTTGATCGATGGAATACAATTTAGTGAATTTCCTTCTTCAGAGATTTTCACTGAAGAGAGACTCTGAAGCAGGGTTTGTGACATTATTGCTTAGAGAAGCAATGCCTCCATTCTATAATGTGTGGTGTTCAAGCTCAGTTTTGCCAAATTTGGGGAAAGAAATCATGAGGCGATAAGATTGGGGATTCTTTGCTTTTCGTGTTGAGCATAGCAGTTTTTATCCAGTTTGCAAACATTCTGCTACCTTTAGCAGATTCTGGTGGTGATATTAAATAGCTAAGCTATATGTAAAATGTTGTGTTTAACACTGAATGTAGTGTTTATTGTACATTGTACTGAATGTTGTCTAGTAATGGATGTATTTTTAGATGCATTTATAGCAGTGTAGATAGTATAGCATATTTCATGGTGATAGTAAGTAAACTCATTGAGTACATTAAATATTTACAGATTAAATTAGATGCCCATATCACCAACGAATGTCCCCTCCCCCCACCCCCCCGCAAACTGCATATTGTTTCGGGAAAAAATTCTGTTGGGTCAGATTCTTGAAAGCAGTCTGGGGGAACAGGTAGAATACTTTTTAGCTCCTGTTGTGTAGCCGTTACTTGTTTTCCTTGCTGGCTTGGCACCTGCTCCTTGTCACTCTTAACCATAAGCAGTGCGACTGTTAGCTACTGTTTAATGACATGAAGTGTTGTCATTTGTGAAGAGAAACAGATTTGATTTTGTGGGATTTGGTACAATCTATAACTGTGGACAGTTGGTTCCAAATGCTAAGTAATCAGTTGATCATTTTTCGGGCTGAACCACGTTAGTTACTAATCAGGATCTTTTAGGTAAAGATTTGAAGGGTGATTTTGGGATCTATTCATCTGCTTACTTACGATAGTCCCTTATCTGGAGTTATAAAAATAGCATTGAAATATGGGTACTCTCGTGTTTTGTCCTTCTGACGGATCTAATTCTTTGAATAGCAGATGAGCTTTCTGTGGGATTCTGTCTTGAGTACCGGTCATTTCATTTACAGACAAACTGAGTAGTCAACAAAACAGTGCTCCTTGTACATTAGGATTACTGTCTTTGCACAGATGAAGACACCAAATGCATTTTTATTTTCATTATGCAGCTTGGTTTCATATTTCTCCACAGACTTTTCCCTTAAAGTAACAGTGCATTTAAAAATAGAAACAATTCCTCCCTTGGGCTCTGGGTTGATTAATTGCAGCAGTGCTTCATGCTATGTTTGCAATTCATTTCTGTCATTGGTTTTTAGATAGTGCTCAGGGCAGGGCAAAGGTGAAGAGTAGAATACTGAGAATGTTATTATTTTTCATATCTGCAAGTCCAAGGTTTGAAGTGTAAGAGGTCTTTAAATGCATATTGGCAAACCTGTGTCAAATTGAGAATTACTGTTTTTCTGAAAGTTGCAAGAAATTACCAATGAATTAGCCATGGATAGAAATTGAAGGTTAGTGGGTGAAAGTTTTCAGTCTTACCAGTAAAAACAAGTGAGAATGCATTGACGTCCAGGGAAAAAAAAAAAAAACAGATGGGGTCAGCTTTCATTGTTTCCCCATTTTACAAAACCAAAGCCAAGACTGTGTAGCTAGGACTAAAAGATCAGAGGATCTCTGAGGTTAAAGATGTTTGTTTTGTTGCTGAAATTCTAGTATTGTAATACATTGCATAGGTCCAGGTTAGTAGTTGATATGTATACTGATCACCATTCTGAAACATTAAGACACATGGATTTGTTTCTTAAAATACCATTGCATTGCTCTCCAGGAGACATTTATGAAGTTCAGATCATTTCAGTACCATGCTCAGCATAGGGGATTCAAAGATACTTGTGGATCCAGTACCTACACCAGAGTCACTCACCTTGGAGAGAAGGAGGAGAGAGAGGAAAAAGTAGTTAAAATACAACGTGGTAAATTACGCTGGTGTATACTTTTGCCATTTCATGAACCACATAATTTCAAAATTCTCTGTTTCCTCTTTCTCTCCCTGGAGGCTGTGAACTGCTTGAAGGCAGGTAGGTACCTTATCCTACTTCTCTTTGTACCTCATGCTCCTGCATACTGGCACTTAGCAAGGGCTTAGCAAATGTGATGGGAGCATTGAGGAGGGGCTGTGGATGCTACCCAAGGTCCTGTCAACTTGCCAAGACAGGTGGTGTTTGTGTGGTCTTATGGATGCTGAGAGCATAGGTTCACTTTTGCAAGACGAGGAGAGAGTCCTTTGCCAATGAAAGTGAAAGCATACCTGCAACACATTGCTTCTGGGTGCTTGTATGTGTGTGAGGTGAGGGGGTGGAGTACCATTCAGAAGCAAGGTAGTTCTGGGCTGGGTGAGGTAGCTCACACCTGTAATCCCAGCACTTTGGGAGGCTAGGGTGGGCGGATCTCTTGAGGCCAGGAGTTTGAGACCACCCTGGCCAACACGATGAAACCCTGTCTCTCCTAAAAATATAAAAATTAGCCGAGTGGTACATACCTATAATCCCAGTTGCCTAGGAGCCTAAGGCAGGAGAATCGCCTGAGCCTTGGCGATGGAGGTTGCCGTGAGCTGAGATCGTGCTACTGCACTCTCGCCTGGGCAACGGAGTGAGACTGCATCTCAAAAAAAAAAAAAAAAGCAGCAGCAGCAAGACAGTTTTGGGGGTGGGGTGGGTGTGGGTGAAGGGATGGAGTGGGGTGAAGGGAGCAATGGAATGAGAATCCCTAACTTGCTAAAAAGGGTGACATACACAGTGAAATGTCTTCCTCTTCACCCCTGCTGTCATCCCTACTTTGCCCATCTCTTCACCTCTCGGAAAATGGGTAGCCACTGTCATTTAGTTCTCATGCCTTTTTTTCCAGATATATATGTGCATTTTTAATACAACTATATACACAAATAAGTATTTATATATTTTTTAAGAAATATCTTTGGTAGCTTTCTTTTTTTTTTTTTTTTTGAGATGGAGTCTCGCACTGTCACCTGGGCTGGAGTGCAGTGGCGTGATCTCGGCTCACTGCAACCTCCGCCTCCTGGGTTCAAGCGATTCTCCTGCCTCAGCCTCCCGAGTAGCTGGGATTACAGGCGGCCACCACCACGCCCAGCTAATTTTTTTGTGTATTTTTAGTAGAGACGGGGTTTCACTATGTTGGCCAGGCTGGTCTCAAACTCCTGACCTTGTAATCCGCCTGCCTCGGCCTCCCAAAGTGCTGGGATTACAGGCGTGAGCCACCACGCCTGGCCCCCTTTGGTATCTTTCAATATCAGCATATTAAGACTTACTCATTCTTTTTTACATTCAGTGTGAATGGTAGTGGTGGTTTTTAAAATATAGGTGGTTGGCTTACGGGTCTGATCCCCGTGACTTTTAGGAAGTGATGCTGTGCTGTGAAAAGAATATAGTGGAACTTGCTTTCTACAGAAGTTTTTGTTCTTAATTATTTTATGTAAGTGAATTGTAAGGTAAGACTCCAAAATAAAGTGCATATCTAACCTACTGTGTAAAAATAAAATGTTGGGCTAAATATGGGCTCTCGGTAGAAGAGCATGAAAGTTTTTAGCTTCCTGTTCATTTTTTCCATATGGCAGGATGAACAATACACCTTGCAAATCGTGTGAGGGAGGGTCAGTTGAAGAAAGCTTCCTCTTACTAAACTTTGTATGTATTTTTTAGTTTATTCACCAGCGGTATCCCTGTCTGAACATCTGAAATCTAAAATGCTCCAAATCCTGGGGGCCAGACACAGTGGCTCACATCTGTAATCCCAGCACTTTGGGAGGCCAAGGCAGGCAGATCACCTGAGGTCAGGAGTTCGAGACCAGCCTGGCCAACATGGTGAAACCCTGTCTCCACTAAAAAAATACAAAAGTTAGCCGAGTGTGGTGGTGCACACCTATAATCCCAGCTACTTAGGAGGCAGAGGCAGGAGAATCACTTGAACCCAGGAGGCCGAGGTTGCGGTGAGCTGAGATCGAGCCATTGCACTCTAGCCTGAGCAACAAGAGTGAAACTCTGTCTCAAAAAAAAAAAAGAATGCTCAGTTGGTAAGTATATAATGCATATATTCCAAATTCAAGAAAAATTCAAAATCCAAAACACTTCTGGTCCCAAGCATTTTAGATAAGGGCTATTCAGTCTGTAAATATTGCAAGTTTTTATTTCTAAGCTGGCTTCCTCCGCCATTCTGAAGGCTTCTAGGATGGTTCCTTGGCTCCTGTGTCTCTGTAGACCAGAAATTTAAATATTAGTGAAAGTCATACATAATTAGAAAGATAAGTCACCTAAGAAGCAGTAATACTCCACATTATAAAATCACCTGTGGGACTTTGAATTCTCTTTTCTGTGTTGTTATTCTTCTCTCTGCCCATATTACAGAGTTAATTGTAAGAAAGCAAAGAATAAGGCCGGACACAGTGACTCAGTGACTCACACCTGTAATCCCAGCACTTTGGGAGCCTGAGGCAGGCAGATCACGAGGTCAGGAGATCGATATCATCCTGGCCAACATTGTGAAACCCCATATCTACTAAAATACAAAAAATTAGCCTGGCGTGGTGGTGTGTGACTATAGTCCCAGCTACTCGGGAGGCTGAGGCAGGGGAATGCTTGAACCCGGGAGGCGTAGGTGGCAGTGAGCCGAGATCATGTCACTGCACTCCAGCCTGGCGACAGAGCGAGACTCTGTCTCAAAAAAAAAAAAAAAAAGAAAAAAGAAAAACAAAACTAAAAGTAATTATAATGCATTGTAGTTTAGAGTGGTTATATTATTTTGTTGACAGTCAACAGTTAAAAATACATTTTACATTATGAACCTGTTTATGTGGATATGTATATTTCAAAGGTTATGAAAAAATACTCTTAACTGTATGCAATGTCTTTTATTTTCTATCCCCTTCTGTTAGAATTCATTAAAAAAATAATGGCTATGTCTTACCGAATTATTTCTCAACCCACTAATGAGTCATAAACTTATATTTTGAAAAACATAGGTTTAGTTAGTAAGAGCTTGGGCTCTGGGTTTTTGTTTTTTTCTTAACCTGTATACACAGTTTAAATTGTGAAGTGGTCATATAATTTATAAAGGCTGTGTTTAAAAAAAAAAAAAAAGTCCCCCTCTTCATTTCTTTCCCCAGAGGCAACCACTTTTAGTGGTTTTAATTCATTCTTTTGGAATTTCCCACCGTATTTCTGAATAACATGCTGGTAATGCTTGGTTTTTATTTGCTCTCTTTGTTCTCTTTCTCTGCTTTATTCTCACCTCACCCCCAAATTCTTCCCACCTGCTCCCTATTTTCCCAATATAGTAATTTTGGTTGGATCAATATTTAGTGTTGACATTATTTATATGACTCTACCGAACATTGTTGACATTGAGCTATGAATTGTTCAATGAATTCTTGTCATACAAAACTTTTTGTTTTGCCTGGCGTTAATGATTGTTGCTTTTTTCCCTCATTTTTCTTTATTTTGCTTTTTTTTCTGTGTACTTAATTACTTTAGCATCCAAACTCTCTGCCACTTCCCGAAATCTTTTTTCAAGACTTTCAAACATATCAGGTGCTCTCTAGAGTTCCTCTTCTTAGAGACATTTCTCCTTGGCCCTTCTTACGTGTTCTGTTGTGATCTGGTAGCCCTCTTGGCTTGGAGCGGTTGCCTCCCAGGGGTTTCCCACACCATCATTCAGGGGATTCCCTTGACCTGTCTTCTGTGTGGAATCTCCTATTTTTCTATTTTCCTTCCCTTCTTCTTGGTTTCCTGCCTCCATTTTGTAGAGCACATCCTTCAGTAGTTTCCTAAGAAAGCATGATTGGAAGGTGAAGTTTTTTGAAACTATGAAAAGTATCTTAATTCTACCTACTCACCTTATTGATAGTGTGGCTGTGTATCATATTCTACTTTAAAGACATTATTCCACTGTCTTTTATCTTTCAGTGCTTCTGTTGAGAAGTTATTTGGGTTTCTAATCCTTTGGACGTGACCTAGTTTATTCCCCTCTGGAATCTGTTAGAAGTTTTTTCCCTATTTTTGTTAAATCACAACAGTGGGCCTTTTTGACCTGGAAACTCCTGTCTTTCAGTTCTGAAAAAAAAATTATTGAATTAGTTCATTAATAAGACCTTTCTCTTTGTTCTCTGTTTTTTTCTGGAACACCTCTTAGGACATGGGGTTTCCTGAACTGGTCTTCTGATGGTTTTATTTTTTCTTTTTACTTTTCACTTCTTGTCTTTTTGTCCTACCTTTTGACAGATTTCCTCCACTACATCTTACAAGCCTTATGTTTAATCCTTATGTTTAATTTTTTGTTTCTGCTATCACATTTTTAATTTTCAAGAACTCTTTTTTTAGTCTCTCTTTTTTTTTTTTCAAACCATCTTATTCTTGTTTCTTGGTTGTGGTATCTTCTCTGAGGACATTAATGATAATTTTCTCCATATAGTCTGCTTTTTGTTTTCTCCCTAAAGCACATTGTTTTGTTTGTTTGTTTTGGTATATTTTATGTTAAGGACATCTCTCAGATATAACTGTATCTCACCTAAACTCTGAGGTTTCTCCAGGGCAAGGACTATACATGATTTATCTTTGTGTTCTCAGTGCTTAGATTCAAGAATGCCCCACACACCAAAAGCATTTTGTAAATTCTCTTTGCAGTTACTATTATTATTAAAAGCTTTTGTCAAATCCCTTTTCTATTGAACTTCCAACAATAAAAGCAATAATTTTCTTTTTCTTAAGAACATCGATGAATGCTAGAATTGAAGGTAGTAGCTACTGTAGACAACTCAGTTACCCACATTCATAAGGATAGTTTGTTAATACAAAAAGCTGGAAATTTTTTTTTTAGATGGAGTCTCGTTCTGTCGCCTAGGCTGGAGTGCAGTGGCACAATCTGGACTCACTGCAACCTCTGCCTCCCAGGTTCAATCGATTCTTGTGCCTCAGCCTTCCAAGTAGCTGGGACTACAGGTGTGCACCACCACGCCTGGCTAATTTTTGTATTTTTAGTAGGCATGGGGTTTCGCTGCATTGGTCAGGCTGTTCTCAAACTTCCGGCCTCAAGTGGCCTCCAGGTGCACCCTCCTTGGCCTCCCAAAGTGCTGGGATTACAGGCGTGAGCCACCATACCCAGCTGGAAAATTTTTTAAAATCATACTTTTTGCATCACTGTTAAAGTTATTTGGTGTAACATTTAAAAAGGTGTATGCCATATTATTATATCTTTTGTATCACATATTTTCAGAATAGTACCAAAATAGCTAGTTTATCATCCCTCTACTTAACTCAGCTTCCGGTGGTGAAATCCAGCTAGAAATAGTGGAAAACTTGAATTGTCTTCCATTTTCAATAAAATTGCACATGCCATATACTCATATTTTTAAGAAAATTTACAGGAACAAGTTTCCCTCAAATAGTAAACATTCTGCAGATATCAGTTTATTGGACTAATCCAACTAAAGTTACCCTTTCTCAAATCTTCCCTGGAAGAAGAGCAGAGAAGATGTTTATATGTTTAAAATTTAAAGAAATTTTCTGAATATTACCTGCAAAGGAAACAGAATAGCAGAGAAATAAACAAGACATTCCGAAACACTTGGTGAGATTACTTTGTACCTTGGCATATAAGAAATTCAGTTTATTAATGTCAGAGCTATCAACAAAGGATGTAATGGAAATGCTAAAATTTAGATGAAAACAGGTATTAAAACAAGAGTTGATTTATGTGAGATCCAGGAGTTATCTTTTCAAAAAAGACCACTCTACAAAATATTTCTGGATATTTAGACATGCAAATGTTAAGAAGAAATTCCTCCTTGGAAATTAGTTTATTTGGTGTTTTACCACTCAACAACTAGGTGAAAACTAAATAAAAACAAAATAAAGTTTTCACATCTCTTTGTAAAATTTTATTTGTGAAAAATGTATAATTCTTGTATTCGATTGTAGACCTAAGATTAAAAAGGAAAAGTAGAGAGGAGAATCCTCCTAGACTCACAGGACTAGAAAGACCTGATATTTCACCAGTCCAAGCCCCCTCATTTGATTGAATCCAGTGTTAATTTCATGTTACTGTGAGATTAACAATTCGGTGAGTCATTGATCAAGTAGGACTATTTTATCAAATTATGCTTGCAGTGTACTTTTCATGTCAAAGCGCAATCGTATCTTTTTTAAAAGTTGCATTGTTAGACACTCTAAAATGTTTTTGCACAGGTAACTTTGTAAGAAACGTGACAGAAACAAAAAAGAATCATTGTCCTACCAAGCTTAACAAATCAGTTATTCTGGGAGGGAAAGCATTAGGAAATATACCTAATGTAAATGACGAGTTAATGGGTGCAGCACACCAACATGGCACATGTATACAATATGTAACAAATCTGCACGTTGTGCACATGTATCCTAGAACTTAAAGTATAATTTAAAAAAATTAAAAACAAATAAAAACAAATCAGTTATTCTTATTTTTCCTCTACCTTTATTTTGTCCTTGCCCATGTAATACAAATATTTGCTGTTGCAATTGTGTTTTGCTTTTCTCCCACTTACATTTCGTTATGCTACAAATAGTCATAGTCATAGTTTTCACATTTATAATTTTAAAAATTGAATAGTCTCTTGAATTTTTAATCATTTCTATATTTTTGGGCCTTACAGTTGTTTCTCTTAGAGATTACAAATAAGAGCATCTTCATGAAACATTTTAGTGCCCTTGGCTTACTAGTTGAAAGGCATTTCTTCTCATGATTGCCAGCACAAAAATACATCTTTGCAATTGTATGACAACGTGAACTATTCTCTTACATTATAGTGAAGATAAAAGTTGATAATTTCCATATTTAAGTATGAGAGACGACATGGTAAAAATGATTTTGTATGGGCAGTAGTAACAAGATGGGTGGTATTCAAACTTGAATGTGCATCAGAATCACCTGGAGGGCCCCACCCTGACATGTTCTGATTTGGTAGGTCTAGGGTGGAGCCTGGGAATGTGCATTTCTTTTTTTTTTTTTTTTTTTTTTGTTGTTGTTTTTTGAGACGGAGTCTCGCTCTGTTTCCCAGGCTGGAGTGCAGTGGCGCAGTCTCGGCTCACTGCAAGCTCTGCTTCCCGGGTTCACGCCATTCTCCTGCCTCAGCCTCCCGAGTAGCTGGTACTACAGGCGCCCGCCACCACACCCAGCTAATTTTTTTATATTTTTAGTAGAGACAGGGTTTCACCATGTTAGCCAAGATGGTCTCGATCTCCTGACCTCGTGATCCACCCACCTTGGCCTCCCAAAGTGCTGGGATTACAGGTGAGCCACCACACCCAGCCTCTTTTTTTTTTTTTTTTTTGAGATGGAGTCTTGCTCTGTTGCCCAGGATAGAGTGCGGTGGCGTGATTTTGAGAGGTGACAGCGTGCTGGCAGTCCTCAGAGCCCTCGCTCGCTCTCGGCGCCTCCTCTGCCTGAGCTCCCACTTTGGCGGCACTTGAGAAGCCCTTCAGCCCACCGCTGCACTGTGGGATCCCCTTTCTGGGCTAGCCGAGGCCAGAGCCGGCTCCCTCAGCTTGCAGGGAGGTGTGGAGGGAGAGGCGCGAGCGGGAACCGGGGCTGCGCGCCGCGCTTGCGGGCCAGCTGGAGTTCTGGGTGGGCGTGGGCTTGGCGGGCCCCGCATTCGGAGCAGCCAGCCGGCCTTGCCGGCCCCGGGCAATGAAGGGCTTAGCACCCGGGCCAGCGGCTGCGGAGGGTGTACTGGGTCCCCCAGCAGTGCCGGCCCACCGGCGCTGCGCTCGATTTCTCGCCGGGCCTTAGCTGCCTTACAGCGGGGCAGGGCTCGCGACCTGCAGCCCGCCATGCCTGAGCCTCCCACCCGCTCCGTGGGCTCCTGTGCAGCCCGAGCCTCCCTGACGAGCGCCGGCCCCTTCTCCACCGCGCCCAGTCCCATCGACCACCCAAGGGCTGAGGAGTGCCGGCGTGAGAGTGGCAGGTAGCTCCACCTGCAGCCCCGGTGCGGGATCCACTGGGTGAAGCCAGCTGGGCTCCTGAGTCTAGTGAGGATGTGGAGAAGCTTTATGTCTAGCTCAGGGACTGTAAATACACCAATCGGCATTCTGTATCTAGCTCAAGGTTTGTAAACATACCAATCAGCACCCTGTGTCTAGCTCAGGGTTTGTGAATGCACCAATCGACACTGTATCTAGCTACTCTGGTGGGGCCTTGGAGAACCTTTATGTCTAGCTCAAGGATTGTAAATACACCAATCGGCACTCTGTATCTAGCCCAAGGTTTGTAAACACCAATTAGCACCCTATGTCTAGCTCAGGGTTCGTGAATGCACCAATTGACACTCTGTATCTAGCTACTCTGGTGGGGCCTTGGAGAACGTTTGTGTGGACTCTGTATCTAGCTAATCTAATGAGGACGTGGAGAACCTTTGTGTCTAGCTCAGGGATTGTAAACGCACCAATCAGCGCCCTGTCAAAACAGACCTCTGGGCTCTACCAATCAGCAGGATGCGGGTGGGGCCAGATAAGAGAATAAAAGCAGGCTGCCCGAACTAGCGGCAGTAACTTGTTCGCGTTTTGTTCTGTACTGGAAGCTTTTTTTTCTTTTGGTCTTTGCAATGAATTATGTTGCTGCTCCCTTTTTGGGCCTACATTGTCTTTATAAGCTGTAACGCTCACCGCTGAAGGTCTGTAGCTTCACTTTTGTAAGCTAGCGAGATCACGAACCCACCAAAAGGAAAAAACTCCAGACGCGCCAACTTAAGATTTGTAATATTCATTGTGAGGGTCCGCAGCTTCATTCTTGAAGTTAGTGAGACCAAGAACCTACTAATTCGGAACACAGTCTCAGCTCATTGCAACCTTCACCTCCCAGATTCAAACAATTCTCCTGCCTGAGCCTTCCGAGTAGCTGGGATTACAGAAACCTGCCACCCCGCCTGCTAGTTTTTTTTTATTTTTTTATTTTTAGTAGAGATAGGGTTTCACTATGTTGGCCAGGCTGGCCTTAAACTGCTGACCTCAAATGATCTGCCCTCCTCTTTCTCTCAAAGTTCTGGGATTACAGGTGTGAACCACTGCGCCCAGCTGGGAATGTGCATTTCTAACAAGTTCCCAGGTGATGGCTGATGCTGGTAGCTTGGGACCAAGCTTTGAGAACTAGTCTAGACCAGCACTGTCCAATAGAACTTCCTGAGATGATGGAAATATGCTATATCTTCACTGTCCAATGTGGTAGCCAGTAGCCCTATGTGATCATTGAATACTTGACATGTGGTTATGATCAAGGAATTTAACTTTTATTTTCATTGATTTAAACAGCTATATGTGGCCAGTGCATTAAGCAACATGGATGTGGACTTTGGTTCTCAACCTTAGCTGCACCACAGAATTTCCTGGGATGCTTTAAAAATAGATGGTTGGGTCCCAGACCCAGAGATTCTCACTTAATTGGGCTGTAGTGCACCTTGGACACTAGGATTTTTTTTAAAAAAGCTTCCCAGGTGTCCCAGTTACTATTGTTGCTTAACTACTCTAAAACTTAGTGGTCTAAAAAAAACTCCATTTTACTAATACCCATGAATTCTGTAGGTTAGGAATCTGAACAGGGCAAAGTACATATGACGTGTCTTTGCTCCACAGTGTCTGGGGGTATAGCCATCCAAAGGTTTGACCAGGTTGAATGCCCAAGACTTAACGCACATGGTTGGCTGTTGATTCTCATGTGTGGCCAAGGTTGAAAACCGTCGGTCTAGTATAGTAAACGAGGTTCCCGCCGGGCGCAGTGGCTCAAGCCTGTAATCCTAGCACTTTGGGAGGCCGAGGTGGGCAGATCATGAGGTCAGGAGTTCCAGACCAGCCTGGCCAACATGGTGACACCCCATCTCTACTAAAAATACAAAAAAGCCGGGCATGTTGGCGTGTGCCTGTAATCCCAGCTACTCAGGAGGCTGAGGTAGGAGAATCGCTTGAACCCGGGAGGTGGAGGTTGCAGTGAGCTGAGATCACGCCATTGCACTCCAGCTTGGGTGACAGAGCAAGACTCCGTCTCAAAAAAATAAAAATAAAAAACCAGGTTCCTAACATAAGGACTCTCTAAACAGATGTATTTAATTAAAGTGCATCTTGCTATTTGTTTTTACTTGAATTACATTAGAGGGGAAAGAATTACCTAACTTATCTAAATGCAAAGTACTTGCCTATCCTTCACCTGATACCAACTTGTTAGAAGGCACAGGTTCTTTCTAAGCTTTCTGGTTTGAGAGTTGTGGGCTCCAGTTCCCTGTTTCCAGTCCTGTAATGATGTGACAATTCTAGCAAAGCCATGGGGACCACATCCATGCAGAGGCTCCGATCTGGGCTATGGAGCAGCAGCATGGCACAGTGAACTGTGAGACGTCTGGGTGCCATCTGATTCTGCCACTGACTTGGTCTGCTTCTTTGAGATAGCTGTTGATCCTTTTGCAGCTAGGTTTCTTCATCTGTAAAATTGAGGGCTGGACTAGATAGTCTGTAAGGGTTTTTTTTTTCTTTAAGTTGTAATGTTCAGATTTATCCCAACGGTACTTTGAGAGTTGAGTTAAATAGAGTAAGTAGGTAACATTTATAGGAGCTGAAATACATTGCATTTTAATTTACTTCTTGGCCAGGGTGTTAGGTGAACTGAAGAGGACAGGGTCACCATTCTTGGGAGGTTTGGTTTGCACGCAGTAGCTGATACGAGAATGGAAGGTGTCAAATGAAATAAAGCAGCAGCATGAAGTCGTTATCAGCTAGCTGAGAATCCTGGATTCCTTACAGACATTCTACATACCTCCTTTGCCTGTGTCTGCAGAACATTATAACAAAATCATCTGATTTGAATCTTTTAATTAGTAGTCATCTTATATAGTTGTGTTCTTTGTGGGATCCAGTGATTTTTAAGCTGTTCTTAAAGGTATACAGCTGTTTTATGCAACAAGTGTATATATGTGTGGGAGTGGAGAAATGACATTTATTGTTGGTTTAGAACTTCCTTGGGCATCGTGTTTTGTTTCTGAGGATTCTGCTGCAACCCTACCAAACTCCAGTTCATCTCCAATATTTCCTATCTTCCACTGTGGGATGAACTCAGGTTAGTGTGTCTGTGTCTCTGGTTTATGCCCTCTTCCCCTTTCTTTCAAAAGCAAAGTGGTTATTGATTCCATGGGGCTCTTCAGGGTCTGGTCTGTGGGCTTGATGAACTGGCTGCTGTTAGAAGAGGCTTGAGGGAAACCTCTGTTTGTAGTTCCCTTAGGGGAAAAAGTTTGGAGCCTTGTTTTTTTTTTTTTTTTTTTTTCTCACTCTCTCTCAAAGACAAGGAACAGGAAGGAAGCCTTTGAGGAAAGGGAAGCTTTGCTCTTTACTGTTGGCCCTTTGTATTGTCTTGGGGAGACACTCCCTAGACTGCACACCCACCACAAATGACCATAAATATTTCTGTATCTCAAGCTGGAGCCTCAGGAAAACCAGAAAGCGCAAAACGACGAACTGCATAGGCATCTGTTGCGAGTGTTGAAAAGATCTGTCCCGGATTTTGGAAGGGCCACATTCAATAAATCCACATGTAGTTTGTTGAACAGATTAACAAGCCTTTAAACATACTTACATTCTGTTCTAGGGTTTAATAAAACAAGTCCTCAGAATTGATGCCTTTGGCGCCCACCTATTTTCCCAGCTAAAGAGAGAATGTGTAAAGATTTATAGCTGAGCTTGCAGTTGTAATTGGACCTTTGTAAGGTTTTTAAATGAAATACTGTTTTTGGTTTTGTTTTGCCTTTTTGCTCTCTACTTCTATTCATACAGTTAATTAAAGTTTAGTATTCACTATGCAAATTGTAACAGGGAATGGTTACATTATGACATTGAGAAAGATCCTTAAAATTACTTGTTTCAAGGATAATGTTTTGAATAAAGAGGAAGGAGGATAGTAGTGGGGAAGGTTTATCAAGATAACGGTGTTAAATTTGAGCAGCCTTATCCACTTTTAAGCATCTCCTTTTGAATCTAGACTTACAAAGAGTTACAGTACAAATAGGTAACATTAGCATGGTAATATCGCTTTAAGTTTTTTGAAGCCTTGAAGTATTGTTGGCTTTGATGGAATAGTATTCTTCTTTCTAGGATTACAGCCTAGTCTACATTTTTATGATGAATTATGCATTGGAAATAGTGTTCAAAAATTGCTGGTCTACTGTAATCCTAGGGACATTTTTTTTAAGCTCTCTAGCTAGATTATTATTTAACTAGTTTTGGTTTTTTTCCCTCCAAGAGTGACTGTTAGCTGCCCTTGCTCATTGGTTCTCAGACTTAAGGATTTTTAAAAAACAGTAGAAATAAAAATTTGGATAAACAGAGAGTTCCCAGCCTCTTTTAAATATGCCGAGTAATCACACTAAAACAAGAGCAAGCCGGACGTGGTGACTCACTCCTGTAATCCCAATTCTTTGGGAGGCAGAGGTGGGAGGATCGCTTGGGCCCAGGAGCTTGAGACCAGCCTGGGCAACATGACAAAACCCCATCTCTACAAAAAATAGAAAAATTAGCTGGGTGTGGTAGTAGTGCTCACTTGTAGTCCCAGCTACTTGCAGGGCTGAAATGGGAGGATCACTTGAATGCAGAAGGTCTAGGCTGCAGTGAGCCATGATTACACCACTGCACTCCAGCCTGGGCGACAGAGTGAGACCCTGTGTCAAAAAAAAAGGAAAAAAACAAACCGCTACTAAATTTTAATATTTTATTATAAAATAGAGGTCAGCTTAACACCAGAATAGGAGAAAGGACATAATCTCAGAATTTAAAACTTGGATACATTTAATTTTGTGAAGTGATCACATTAATTATCTCTTTTCCTGGAAATTGATGGAAATACCACCATAGCTATGTGAACTCTGAACTGTGAAGTACAGTTAGGTGTCCCTGGTGTGTGCGATGTCTAATAGTACATCAGCTATTGGAGTTCTGAGGATCTTGGGTCCTTCAGGCCAGATCATACTAAGAATCATTAAAGGATATTTTCCCTTAAAAATTGACCAGTCTCTGTTATTTGTATGTAGACTGAATTTTTTGAGTGGTAGCCTACATCTTTGTTTTTGTATTTTGATGTATTGAAATAACCTCACCAATCTTTTTAAAAGCCGAAATAAAATTGAAATTTGTAAAAGTGTTGTAAATTACTTTGTCTCTGAGCTGCAGCTTTTCCCTTGGAAATCTCTTATTTGCTTTTTGCACTGTTTTGATAGATACCTGTTGAGTATAAATAAGTAGTTTTGTAAAGCACTATCAAGTGTTGTAGCCAAGAGTGTGCTCTTTGGAGACAAACTGCTCAGGTGAATGGATATAAGGCTTTTAAGTGGTTATAACCTATGTCTGTTCAGTACTCCTATCTGAGCCTATCACTAACATCCCTAGAAAGAATTCAGTAAGAGGATTAGGGAAAAGGAGGTGCATGTCATTAACACTCATGGCCAGGCCTATCCAGGACGCAGATATTTAAGTCAAATATTGCATTAAGATTAATAAAGAAGGGGGTTAGGGGAGAAAAGAAAAGGAAAGAGAAAAGAAAACTACCTGGTAATTGAAGCAGGCAAATTGCTGGAAGCATGTAAGCGATCTGAAATCTAGTTACTTTCACACTGCCATTGGATCTCCTCTCTCAGCATCCTGATATATATATATAATTTTTGTATTTTTAGTAGAGACAGGGTTTCACCATGTTGACCAGGCTAGTCTCAAACTCCTGGCCTCAAGTGATCCCCACCGCCTTGGCCTACCAAAATTTTGGGATTACAGGCATGAGTCACCATGCCCGGCCTGCTTTTATGTATTTCTATACACAAAAACTTAAATTGAATAAATGGATCAAAAACTGTTCTAAGAAAGCATGCATGAATCCCTTATTTAAGAAAACACGGCCGGGCGCGGTGGCTCACGCCTGTAATCCCAGCACTTTGGGAGGCTGAGGCGGGCGGATCACGAGGTCAGGAGATCGAGACCATCCCAGCTAACACGGTGAAACCCTGTCTCTACTAAAAATACAAAAAATTAGCCGGGCGTGGTGGCGGGCGCCTGTAATCCCAGCTACTTGCGGGGCTGAGGCAGGATAATGGCGTGAACCCGGGAGGCAGAGCTTTCAGTGAGCCGAGATCGCGCCACTGCACTCCGGCCTGGGTGAAAGAGCGAGACTCCGTCTCAAAAAAAAAAAAAGAAAACACAAGTAAATACACAGGCATTTAGGTTTGTATGGTATATTTTAAAACTTTTTAAAAGAAAATAATAAATTCAAAGGAAACTAGAATGCTTCTGTTAAATATCCTAAATATATTTTCCAAATTTTAGTGGGTCAGTAAATGAATGCCAAAAACCAAAAGATTTCCCAAGTAAACAGTTCTGGGGTAAAATATATTCATGTAAGGGATGCCAGAGAACCAGATATGCAAGTAAAAATATTTCTCTATTCTGAATTTTAACAGAGAAGCCCTCAAGTTCATCCTCTCCAGGATGGTAAACCCTGGAACAAGAGTCCCCAGCATAAGTATGGGGATAATAAAGTCAGTTGCCTCAGGAAGAAAAATAAAAGTATAGAAACCTAATATTATTGAACACAGTGTGTCACTAGCTTCAGCCAGTCATTTCCTCAGAAATCATTTACGACTAAGTAGTATTGGCAGTCTATGAATCCCCTATGCTAACTAAAGCCTAGTAACTTTATATCCAATTAATATAAATATAATTAAGTAGTACAACAAACATTTAGTGAGTATATACTATGTCTAAGATGGCAAAGGGCCAGCCCCCAATAACTAGAGTACAAAGCAGAAGATATCACGATTGGAGGTAGAGCCTCCAGCCGTGTGGTCAAAACTTATTGCTCTGAATAAAGACAGTGACCAGTTCAATGTCCGTGAAGAATCTGTACAAATGGCTTATCATACCCTCTAGACTGCAAACTCCTTGAGAGCAGAGCCCCTTGTCTTATTTGTCTTTTGTTTCTTCCCTCTTCCTTTCTCGAAGCAGCTGGCACATGCCTTGTACATAGTAAGTGCCTTGGATGTTTCATTTCCTGTACTGCCAGAGCTATACACCCAGAGGTGGTGTGTGGTCCCAGACTGGATGAGTGGACCCTACACCAACCTGATGTAGATGTTTTATAGTTGAATATAATGAAAGATATGGATATAGACTTTTATTATAAGAGCTGTGCCTAGGTAGATGAGTCTGTGGGTAGAAAGTCCTCAGGTTGTGTCTGTCACATCACTGGTGGTTCTAGTGCTTCTAGTCTGGGCCCTCTGAGACCTCTAATTTCTGCATTAAATTGTTACATAATGATAGCCTTTGTGCTGTCATGTGGCTTTTGGGGGTAATGGCAGTACAAATGTAGCTCTGGACCCTTACAGCTTTGGCTGCTACTGCCTTTGGCTGACAGGCAGAGGCTGTAGCTGCTTAGGACTACATGAGATAAGTAATGGTTGGTCCAGCCAGGAGGTCACCAGTCTTTGACAAAGTTCACATTTTTAATGTTCACTGCACAACCTATGGAGCAGCATTAGCTGCAGATTCTATGCAGGTAACTAGTGGAAGAGAATTCTATCCTAGGCAAAGTTGTGAGGTCGGGATGTTTCATTTCCTGTACTGCCAGAGCTATACACCCAGAGGTGGTGTGTGGTCCCAGACTGGATGAATGGACCCTACACCAACCTGATGTAGTTGGGCATTCTTGTGAGTCAGCATGAGAAGCTGTTCCTCCTGTTGTCATAGGGAGAGAGGACTGGAGTGAAAGAATTGAGAGAAAGGAGAGGTACTGGTAGATTGCCAGGGCCTCTTCCTCCAGCTCCACCTGGAGTCCATTGCCTGTGAATCTGGGACAGCCCTGTGAGTGGCAGGGCTGCTGGCCTGCTTACTCTTCTTTCTCCTGGTGAGTAAGCGGGGATCTCTGGGTTCTTCTCGTTCTCTGGTTCCTAATTGGCCATTGGGTTGATGCTGCAGCTTCTGCTTACTCTTGTGGCAGTTTTCAACATTTTTTTGTTCCCCACTGCAGCACACATGTCAAATAATATGCCTACGTTTGTCAGTCCCCCAGGGGTTCTCAGCATTGTGGGCAATTCTCAGTATGCCGTCCAAGAATGTACATTGGAATGGAAGTCATGTGAAAATGGCAGTCTACAGGGGATAGCTTTGAACCTGTTTTTATTTATATTTTTAAATAAGCCATTTGCAGGCTTTATTAAGCATTTATTAAGACCTTCACAGACTTTATTAAGTAAGCTTTTACAGACTTACTTAATGAGCACCTTATTAACAAGTTACTTGTGATGCATCTCACAGTGATTGTCAAACATCAGCGGGTCCTAGTCCCATGGTTGAGCCTTCTTGGTTCAGAAATCAGAGCAGGAAGGCAGATGGCTCAGTGGCTGGGCAGTTGGGAGCAGGAGGAAACCTAACACTGCAGGTCTTTCCTTTGGAGAGTAAAAGATGGGGAGCAGCTTATACAAAGTTGTTGCTGATAGCAGTCTGTGTGTGGGGGCATCATGACTATGGAAATGGATAACCAGGCATCTCTGCTCCTGACACGTGCAGTCTTCCAGAAAGACTTCGGATAGTTTTCTCTGCCCTAGAGAAGTTTAGTTTTCCATCCTTGAGTGATTGAGCATAAGATGAGTTCTCTCTTTCTTTATTCATAAGAACTTTGTTTTTAATATAGCTTTTTTCTAATTATAAATGTGATGCCCATTCACTGTTGAACACTTTGAAAATATAAGATATTAGAGGTAAAATACAGTTTACTCATTCTTTTAACATTGTGATGCATTTTCCTTTTTCTGTGCTTGGTAGTTTATACCACTGAGTGAATAACTACTGAGTTTTTAAGATTATGAAAACACAGCAATTGCATATTGCCTTGAGGCGGTAGCACTATCTAAAAATTTACAGCACTAGGTTCAGCTGAATGTTTAGTCCAAGACAAAGTTCTGCCTTGTTGAAATTTTCTGTTTTGCTTTATCTTTAACATTTTCCTTCACCAAAGTTTTTATCTCCTCGGATTACTTTTCCCCTGAGAAAGTGCATAATACCAAAAGGGAATAGAGTGTCTACTAAATCAAGTTAGGTACTGCTGGAATATTTGGTATTTTCTTTCCCTAATTAAGGAAGCAGTATTAGGAGCATTACCTCTGGAGTCCAGGTTCCCTCAGCCTGGACCTGCACTTCCCAGCTGGGTGATTTTGGGCACGCTGCTTAACCTCACTGTGCTTTAATTTCCAACTTCATGTAAAATAAATAATACGCTTTGAGTATTTACAGCAAATACTCAAAAAATGTTAGATATTTTTCTTAGTGTGTGTTATTATTGTTCGTGCAATAATAAGAATCATAAGACAGAAGGATGAAGCTGAAGTAGTGAGACACATAATGATGTTAACAATAAAAACAATTTTTGATACATTTCTCAAAACTATCTGATGGGAAGGATGTGGTCAAGTGAATCCATACCGATCCATGTTGAAACCATCAAGCACTGTGTTGTGTTGGGATTAGATCTAGGAGACACTCTATATTTATTCACCCCTCCTTTCTTGTTAGTGCTCAGATTGTCATACTTGACCATTAAAAGTCTTCTAAATCATGGGTTTTTTTTTTTTTTCAGAACTTTTGAAAGAATCCTGCTCACTGTCAAAAAAAAAAAAAAAAAAAATTCAGAGTCTTGAATATTAACTGTTTCAAGATATTAAGTCCCTTTAGAGGAAAAGGACATTAGAGACAAATTCTAATGGGTATACTAGGGTATTCTCATGGGTACTAAGGTTGCTATGTTAGGCCACTTTAGAGATGGAAATAAAAATAAAATAAAAAATAGCACACATAAAAAATAACGCATACATACACATAATTTTTATGAGTTGACTTTGACAATTTTCATTTTAGCCTTACTTTTGGTTTGTTTTGAGACAGAATCTCACTCTGTCACCCAGGCTGGAGTGCAGTGACACAATCTTCGCTCACTGCAACCTTTGCCTCCCGGGTTCAAGCAATTCTCATGCCTCAACCTCCTCACTAGCTGGAATTATAGGCACACGCCATCACATCCAGCTAATTTTTGTATTTTTAGTAGAGATGGGGTTTTGCCATATTGGCCAGGCTGGTCTCAAACTCCTGACCTCAAGTGAACTCCTAACCTCAAGTGATCCGCCTGCCTCAGCCACCCAAAGTGCTGGGATTACAGGCGTGAACCACCACGCCCGGCCCCATTTTAGCCTTACTTTTATCCAACCACCTACTTATTTGAGAAATAAATAAAGATTGTACGTCTTTTTAATTTTACAAGCAAATAATTTGATGAGTTTGTGGTTATTCCTTAATCTAAAATTATGACTAAAGATAATGTGTTATCTATCACCAAAAAGACAAACATAAATTAACAAGGTCAAGATCAACCCTGTTAATAAAGCCACTGGATAAGTAATGAGATTTAACATCACACATATCTTTATTGCTATGCTCTGAAAACATCTCACTAATGAAGCACAGTTAAATTGCTTTGTTTTGAGTCACTTGTAATAATTTATTTTCCTTCCTGCTGCTAAAAAGAGAATGGAACTTTTGACTCAGTAAAAGCTATGTGAAATCTTGTAAGGATTGGAGAACCATTTCTGCATGTGAACTCTGAGTTTCTCTCAATAATTATTGAAATACTGGTTATTAAAATGGTCTGTAGGAGATTTGAATCATATACAACAAAAGCCTTATTCATCTCTACCTATGATATTTCATATTTGAATACTATTCTTAGTAAAGTTCTAGATGGTTTGTATGGCTAGATGGTTGTATGGAAACAACACTTATTTATCACCTAAGTAAATTTGCAGACAGAACATAGCTAAAGATTAAATATGATTAGGATATCTAAACATGATACTAAGAACAATTAGAGAAAATTAATCCAGACTTCTTGGAAAGCTTGTAACCTTTTCATTTGGGACACATGTGTTTCCTTTGATTTTTAAAATCCTGGCCCGGTGCAGTGGCTCATGCCTTAATCTCAGCGCTATGGGGAGGCCAAGGTGGGCAGATCACTTGAGGCCAGGAGTTTGAGACTAGCCTGGCCAACATGGTGAAACCCCATCTCTACTAAAAATATTATTTAAAAAAATTAGCTGGGTGTGGTGGCAGGCGCTTGTAATCCAGCTACTCGGGAGGCTGAGGCGGGAGAATCGCTTGAACCAGGGAGTCAGAGGTTGCATTGGGCCGAGATCACACCACTACACTCCAGCCTGGCGACAGAGCGAGACTCAGTCTCAAAAAAACAAAACAACAAGAAAACCACAAAACTTTCAGAATTCTAAAAACATTGACCTGGGTTATCTGGGATAAAATCAAAACAACTGTGAAGCTCTACTGACCTAAGCCCATGAAAAATTTGCCAGACTAGTATCATTTTTGTCCAATTGTCTATGTTATTTCAAAAAAAAATTCTTTAAACTTCTGTCTTTCTCTTCGAGAAAGCAGCATTGGTGCATGCTTATTTTGATAGGATTCCACCTACACTTTCTTCCTCACCGACATTTTCTACTGTTTTTATAAAGTAGATAACACTGACTTTTCTACTGATTTTTATAAATTTGATTTACTTATATTTTATCCAATGATTGGGTTTAGTACTTATTTTAATTTTTGCTTTCTAAATATATATATATATTTGAGGGCAATAGAGAATAAAGTACAATTACTTGATGTCAACCTTTGAGAACCACAGACAAGATTTATTACAACATCCTTTTAGGCCAGTGAATGATCACAGCTTGTAAAAAGTAGAAACTTGGGCTTTTCTGATTATCAGTTATATTTTTCAAGGGTGTTTGTTTTATAAGAATTAGGGCGATGGCTACGATATGAGCTGCTGTAAGAGAAGGAAGAGAGTTGATGGAGCTGATTTACTCTAAACTGAATAATTAGTTCTTGGCTAATATACTTTAAAATTAACCTTATTGAGAGGTGTGGGTGTGTGTGGGTGTGGGTGTTCAGAGACAGGGTCTCACTCTGTCACCCAGACTGGAGTGCAGTGGCATCATCATAGCTCACTGTAACCACGAACCTCCTGGAATCAAGCTATCCTCCTGCCTGAGACTTCCAAAGTGCTGGAATTACAAGCATGACCCATTGTGCCTAGCTGAGGTGTAAATTTATCTACGATAAAATGCACCCATTTTAAGGGTACACTTTCTTGAGTTTTTACAGTTGCATATGCCTGATTAACCACTATCACCATTAAGATATAGAACATATTGGCCAGGCATGGTGGCTCACGCCCGTAATCCCAACACTTTGGGAGGCTGAGGTGGGCGGATCACAAGGTCAGGAGTATGAAACCAGCTTGGCCAACATGGTGGAACCCTGTCTCTACTAAAAATGCAAAAATTAGCAGGGCGTGGTGGCGCGTGCCTGTAATCCCAGCTACTTGGGAGCCTGAGGCAGGGGAATCGTTGGAACCCAGGAGGCGGAGGTTGCAGTAAGCTGCGATCACGCGCAGCACTCCAGCCTAGGCGACACAGCAAGACTCTGTCTCAAAAAAAGAAAGATATAGAACAAATCTATCCTACAAATCTCAAATCTCTTGGGGCCCTTTTGTGGTCATCGGTAATATATTTCTTCATATTGTAAGACCTTATCTATCCATGTTACTTCACATGATGCTCTTCTATTTTTATTTATTTATTTTTTTTGAGTTGGAGTTTTGCTCTTGTTGCCCAGGCTAGAGTGCAACGGCACGATCTTAGCTCACTGCAGCCTCTCCCTCCCAGGTTCAAGTGATTCTCCTGCGTCAGCCTCCCGAGTAGCTGGGACTACAGGCGCCCGCCACCATGCCCAGCTAATTTTTGTATTTTTAGTAGAGACGGAGCTTCGCCATGTTGGCCAGGCTGGTCTTGAACTCCCCACCTCAGGTGATCCGCCCACCTCGGCCTCCCAAAGTGCTGGGATTACAGGCATGAGCCACCGCACCCAGCCTTTCACATGACACTCTTACTCCCTCACCTCACTTCCATTGGTCACAACATTTAAAGGGAAGCAAAATTATTTGATGACTAGACCTGCTGGTTATGTAATTATAATCATATAGGATAAACAATTATCTTTATGCACTTTGAGTTTACAGTGTAGTGGGGGAGGGGACAGACAGATCTGAGTCTAACGGGCTGAATCAGATGCATCTGAGTAAGAAACTTTGGGGCTGGCTGATAACATCAGTTTGATTCTATTCATTGCATTGTCATTAATAAGCCAGAACTAATTGGAGAAATAAAATTTGAGTCAAGCATGAGGAAGATTCCAATTAAATGGAAAGGTGTAGATTGGCTGTGTTACACCTCCAATGTATGGAAGCTCAGAGGAAAGGGAGAGAGAGAGAGAGGACCACAGGAATTTGTCTGGCCAGAGTAGATATAACAGAAGTACTCTGTGGTTGAGCTGCCTCCGGGTGCCTGTGGATGTTGTCCAGACTCAGCCTTACTTGCACACAGCCCCCACACCAGCATCAGCTGTTCCTGAGGGCAGGGCCGGTACAGATGGTTGTGTCCTGCCCCACCCTCTTTCAAGTGGAGCCTCTCTGGCTGCTGCCTCTTCCTGGCTGTGCTCATCTCTGTGGTCCGTGTCATCTGTTCCCTCCGTTGCTACTTGCCTGCACAAATTTTCTCCTCGCTCTGCTTTTTTAACGGTCTCCCTTATGACTTATTGCTTCTTCTCCTCAGCCTTTGCAGCAAAAGCTTGACCTTTTATGGACATTTCAAGCCTGTTCTTCAATTTATTACCATGTTTTTTTTTTCTTTGTTTTTTGAGACGGAGTCTTTCTCTGTCATCTAGACTGGAGTGCACTGGCGCAATCTCAGCTCGCTGCAACCTCCACCTCCTGGGTTCAAGTAGTTCTCTTGCCTCAGCCTCCCAAGTAGCTGGGATTACAGGCACGCCCCACCACGCCCAGCTAATTTTTGTATTTTTAGTAGAGATGGGGTTTCACCATGTTGGCCAGGTTGTTCACGTGATCCACGCGCCTTGGCCTCCTAAAGTGCTGGGACTACAGGCATGAACCACCACACCCAGCCTATTACCATATTTTCAGTGCACCTAAAATACCATCAATTATAAGACACATTGGTATGTAGGTGCCACACAAAAGAAAAACCATTGCCCGTTGAACTATTAAACCTTGATTGTCAAATGTATCCCAATTCTGAAATTTTAAGATGTGGAAAATAGACAATGTTGCCAACCAAACACTAAGCACCCTAGAATACAGAGGAACACAGGGCTTAGGTGAGAATAAGAGAAGAATTTGAAACTAGAGGTAAGACGCCTGGTGTGCGCTGCAGTCTATGTCGTTGCTGGAGGTGGACATCTTACTTGGCTGGAGGATCCTAGAAGCCCATGCAAACAGGAAAATAACTGTTATACAATTGTATATAAGAAGAAAACAAGCTAGTTGCTCAAAAAGAACATAGCTATTCTATTTACTAAGCCCTGGGTGAAGGATCTTTCTGTCCTTTTAGTGTTATTTAGAGAACAATATCTTCAATAACATCTCTACTATAAATACAGTCACTGGGCTGTTTTGTTTAATGTCAAATTTATGGTAGTCAGTTGGTAAAATATTAAAAGTTCAATTTGACTCTACATGGTCCAACCTAATTCGGGGAGAATATAAAGGGCTTACAATATGCTTGGTGCTTGTTGGGCCAATTTTGGGGTGGTTTTAGGTCCCTTTCATGCTGGGACATGATTTATTGCCTATCTTAATAACTTATTTATTATCCCACATCAGTTGCTACCTTCCACCTTTGGAATCCCAGCTCCTTTCCAGGTCCCCTTACCAGCCCACACTAGTGAAGTCCACCTCCTTGCCAAGTCCAGATCTCATTAAGCTGCACATCCCAGTTTCCACTTCCGTATTTTCTCCAGTTTGAAGTGCTCTTTTAGCCTCCTCTCTGCAAACTCACATTCATTGGTTCCTTTTGGATGTTTCAGCATACGTCTTCCTTTAAGAATCTTTCTCTGACCCTTGGCTTAACATTAAGCCCCTGTAATATTATGTAGATAATTTTAACCATATTTTTATGTACTTGTTAATCTGCTGTTTAATACTTTTTTGAACTGAAAGATGCTACGCTTCTTGAAAGGAGGCTTAGTTTCTCCTACTGTGGATCTTGAAAGGGGTCTAGTGCAGTGTTCGGTACTCAATTCGTGCTCAAAAACAATGAAAGAATGAATGATACGTTATACTGTGAATTCACTCCTTGATGACGAAGTCAGTAGGGGCTTCTTCCCAGCTCATTTCACTTTTACTTTGCTGTTTCTCCTGCACTACTATATGATAGACACCACAATTCTTTACATTCCTTTATTCTGCTGGGAATATACCTCTGAGGAATGACATATAAAAATATTTCTGAAACATTTAAAACCCATGGTCCCTTTGGATCAACTTAAAAATCTCACCTCCTCCTGAGAGATGATGCTCTCGATATATCCCCTGGGTAAAGGAAGGAGCTGCCCTGTACCCCAACCCCAACTATAACTGATATAAGAGGATCCCTCTTTGGGTAATAGTATTGAAGGTTATTACCCCAAAATGGTCACTGATTTGTTAGCCAGGCTGATCACATTCATAAATGCATAGTTAATACATAGAAAGAGATACCTATTTGTGGGGAGAGTTTGCTTAGCAAAAACATCTTGGTTTTAAAGTTTAGCAGTGTTATTTTTAGTTATAATTCATTTGTTAAGTTTAGTCAACAAACATTGGTGCCCAGAGGCTGGTCCATTAGTGTTTCCAGTTAAGGCAAAATCCAAAATTATTTTTTATACTCGCTCTCTTTTTGCTACTCTCAAAGAATGTTTACTTTTTTTTAGTTACTAAAGAGTGATTTTCCCTTTGACTCATAACCTTTTTTTATGATTTTACCTTGTTGGCAGATTTTTAACTCCTAAAATTTCCCCATGGGTTGAGGAATCACAAATGCCATTCAAAATGAATGCATGATAAACCTTTTTCTAGCCACCATTTGGGGAGGACATGTTAATTGGTGAGAACTGAGAGTTTTGTTTTTTGTTGTTGTTTTTTTTTTTTTGAGGTGGAGTTTTGCTCTTATTGCCCAGGCTTGAGTGGAATGGCGCGATCTCGGCTCACCACAACCTCCGCCTCCCGGGTTCAAGCGATTCTCCTGCCTCAGCTCCCAAGTAGCTGGTATTACAGGCATGCGCCACCACACCAGGCTAATTTTGTATTTTTAGGAAAGACGAGGTTTCTCCATGTTGGTCAGTCTGGTCTCGAACTCCTGACTTCAGGTGATCCGCCGGCCTCGGCCTCCCAAAGTGCTGGGATTACGGGCGTGAGCCACTGCGCCCAGCCGAACTGATAGCTTTTAATTGAATAAGGAAAGCTACCATTAGATGTCCCTGACTTTCATGTTTATTTTGGGTTAATGTGGAGGTTTAGGAAATATAATTGAAAATAATCAATTCTGCCTGAAGAGGAGTACTCTCTACTTGTTGATACAGAAGGTGTTGAGATCATTTTATTTTAGAGTTGTTTACACTGACTGCCTGTTTCTATCCAGTTTATTTTTCTAAGAATACATTCTTTCCTCTGCTGCTTTCCAACCCTTGACTCTTATGTGTTCCTACAGAGAAACATCTGGTGTTCCGAGAACTTTATTTTTGGTGGCAATGGAATATTTTATAAAACTCTTTTTTTGCATTGCATCTCCCAAACATAATGTAGTGTAAGTAATAAAGAGTAATTTGCAAATGTATTTAAAATGCATTGCTTTGTATGGGCATGGCTATTTTTCATGCAGTCTCTATAACATAGATGAGGCTGTCTCTAGAAGCTCTTATGAAGCTTCAGGCATGATGTCAGTTTTGCTTGTCATTGTATACCTAGCACGGAGTAAACATTGAATGAATGATAAGATGTATGTAGCTCCTTAAACAGTGACCTATATATGACTTACAGTAATTTTTTTATTTAGAGATAAATGACACAGCCTGGGCAAGATAGTGAGACCCCATCTCTACAAAATATAAATTTTAAAAAAAATTAGCCTGGCATGGTGATTACTTGGGAGGCTACTTGGGAGCTACGTGGGAGGCTGAGGCGGGAGGATTGCTTGAGCCTGGAAGATAGAGGTGGCAGTGAGCTATGATTGCACTACTGCACTCTAGCCTGGGCACAGAGTGAGACCCTGTCTCAAAAAAAAAAAAAAAAAAAAAAAGAAAAAGAAAAAGACACACAAATGTTAGCATTGTCAACATGGTTTTATAATTGGATTTTTATGTATTGAATAAGTAGTAGATGAAAATCAGTTTTGCATTCGGATGAATACAACACCTTGACAATGGATTAGATGGAATAAATGGAATTAAAGTATAAGAATAAATCATATAATTGAAATATCACATTGTATATTCAAGGTGAAGATGAAGAAATGGAATAAAACTGTCAAATTTGAAACATGAGGATAGTTGATAAAAGAAGTAAACTGCTGTTCAAATACATATTGTCTTTGCGTGTCACAATTCAAATAACAGCTGTACTACATCTATAGAGAATACTTTTTACTATATATAGCTTCTAAACGAATGTTATAAGCCACAGACTGTGTATTTGCCTATTTATAGATATTTTACTTAGCAATTTCAGTTACTCAGAAGTTTGATGTATCTAACTAGATATAGTCAGATGTGTGCTGTCCAGAACACCATATGCAAACATAAGTATTCTTAAAAAGCAATTGGGAGGAACATTACTGCTGAGAGGAATGGACAGCCAGAGAATATTTTTTAGGGAAGAATTTTTGCAAACCCCTTCAGTATCTTTTGAGGAATTTAGGTTGATTTGATGATCATCTAGCGATAGTAGATGAAATTAATGCCACCAAAGACAAATTGCAATTGATTAGAATGGCTGGTGAGTAAAACCCTCCTTGTGCCTGAGGTATAATTGTGAGTGGCAGCTTAGCAGCTTGTAAAGGCGGGTGTCTATTATATGAGAAGCTTTTTATTTCTGTGTCAGTTTATCAGACTGAAGCTGCTTCAAAAGCAGGGTTTGGTGAGAGCTTTTAGAGACATTTCACCATTGAAAATGTTTTCTGTGACTGTTTCCTAGAGGAAGGCTGGTCTAAACCTCAGGCTGTTCTTTTAAAGTGTTTTGAAAAAGTATGTGAAGTCATTGTCATGTTAAGCTTTATGACAATGTGAAGAGGAAAAACACCAAACAACTCTGTCTGGCCATGAGACACATCATGTCTTTAAATATTGTGATAAGCCTGTGTTTTGCAGAAAACTCAAATTGTGTTTTCCCTCTGCTCTCACACCACAACAAGCAACACAGAAGACTTCTGTGGCCAAATGTCTTGGGGTTTTCCCCCACCAACAAGCAGTGAACACCAGCTGGGTGTCCTCTGATTCAGTTCTGACAGTGTCTACTCAGAGATAGTGTCAGATCCCACGGGTTGAGGGCTCAGTCCCACAAGACTGCCCCCCTGTTTTAAACATCAGTCACAAGTCTGGGCTTCTGGAACTTCTGACCTACCAGCTTCAAGTTGGGGTTTCCAGGACCCCTTCTTTGGGTTTGATTAATTTGCTGGAGAGGCTCACAGAACTCAGGGGAGCACTTATATTTACCAGTTGATTATGAAGGTTATCTTAGAGGATACAAATAAACAGCCAGATGAAGAGATACATAGGGCGAGGTCTGCAAGGGTCCCTATCCCTAGCACAGGAGCTTGTGTCCCTGTGGAGATGGGGTACACCACCCTCCCAGCATGTGAACGAGTTCTTTTTCACTGTCCTGTCTGCTGCCTCCATGTGCTCAGTGATCTGGAAGCTCTCCAAACTTTGTGCTTGAGGGTTTTTATGGAGGTCTTGTTATATAGACATGATTGAATATGGATGGCATAAAAAAGTGGGACCTGGTGCGATGGCTCACACTTGTAATCCCTGCACTTTGAGAGGCCAAGGCGGGCAGATCACTTGAGGTCAGGAGTTCGAGACCAGCCTGGCCAACATGGTGAAACCCTGTCTCTACTAAAAACACAGGAAATTAGCCAGGCATGGTGGTGGGTACCTGCAATCCCAGCTACTTGGGAGGCTGAGGCAGGAGAATCACTTGAACCTGGGAAGCAAGGTTGCAGTGAGCCAAGATTGTACCACTGCACTCCAGCCTAGGCTACAGAGTGAGACTCCGTCTAAAAAAAAAAATGTGATTGAACAGAAAGGTTGTGATCTCATACTAGTAGACTGAGTGGGGAAACTCAGCAAGGCCTGTCTGTGTTAGTTCCTTCTTGGCCTCTCTATGCAGCATTTCTTCCTCCAGAGTATAGAGCAGGACCCTCTCTGGAATGAGGATTTTTTTTTGACCCACAGCCAGATTAGAGGACAGGAGAAGGTCGGCGAGAGAGAATCTATTCCCTGAGGCCTCCTCCTGAGACCTAAAGCACCCCAACATTATAGCAAAGGACTGTAACAAGGGGTATGGGAGTTATGAGCCAGGAACCATGGACAAAAACCAATATATGTCTATCACCATAATATCACAGCCTAACACCACCTTTGCTGCTTAGGCATAACTTGCCTCCCTACCTAGATAGTAAATCTCTTGCATATTGGGTTTGTTTCCATCTTGGTTGCTTTTGCAGTGCTAGGCACAAAGTAGATGATGGACAAGACTGCTAATCAGGGAGGACCACAAACAGGTGGCACTTGGCTGCATGGTTGATGGTCTTTGAAAAAGTGTGCACATGCTGGATTTTTCTGGACCTTCTTTGTAATGGACCTATTGTTGAGTCTAATAACAGAGCAGTAGTTAAAGGCACAGACTCTGGAGCCAGATTGAAAGTAAATCCTAGCCTTTTCACTTATTACTGTGTGATCCTGGATGAGTTACCTGTCCTCTCCATGCCTCAACTTCCTCATTTGTAAATGAGGATGATAATACCTGCATCTTACGGATGTAAGGTTAAATGAGCTACCACTTGATGAGTCCTTAGAACGGAGCCTGGCACTGTGAACCTAAGTCCGTTGCTTTGCTTGCTGTTCACACTCAAAATGCTTGACTGTAGATTTAAAGCAATGTTAATAGACTTTTTAAAAATTGTGCTTAAGATCTGGAAAATATGGCAGTCTTTTCAGGAAAACCTGTATACAAGAATAACAGTCACTATTAGTGTCATCATCTTTAAATATAAAAGACAGTGGTTGATGGGATGCATAAATTTGCATGTATTTAGGCAAAAATGTAGATGTGTGAACACAAATTGGCATGAATTACCTGTAGAGGTTAATGCATGGAAACAAACTACACTGAATTGGTGCAGCCTTATCCTGAGACTCTGAAAGGAGTCACAGAAAATAGGAAATTGCCATCTTATAGACTTAGCATACAGTTTCTTTGCTTTAGTAAACCATGACTTTGTCTTCAATATTATCTCATCCAAACAACCAAATCATTAAGATTAGTTGCACTGCTGTTCTTAAATAAGACAAATTTAAACCCAGAAATGGCTACTTTTTGTATTACATCCAATATAGTGAATGCACATTGTCTTATGGGCACAAGAAAATCACTTCTTCAAATATATTTGTGGAAATTATAGGGAAGATTTTACTTATTGTATAGGTAATTTGTTTGGTCAGATATCCAAATTGGTGTGAAGTGGCAAAAGTCTACATGAAGCTTTGCCCTATCAGTTACTCAAGGGAGCACTTCACAAATGAAAGAAGGCAGAGTGGGTGTTGAATTGGTAGAATAGAGTTTGTTATTGTTATTGTTATATTTAAATCAAAACAGGTAGAAACCCAGGTTCTTGGTTCTAGTCCTGGCTTCGCTACTAATAGAAGGATCTGGAGTAACTTTAACACCTGTGGAAACTAGTGTCCGTTTGTACATCAAGGAGATTAGACCAGATCAATTCTCATATTCAGTGATTCTGAATGTAAAGACATGTATAGTAATACTTGTAGGCCAGGTGCCGTGGCTCACATCTGTAATCTCAGCACTTTGGGAGGTGGCGGCAGGAGGATCGCTTGAGCCCATGAATTCAAGACCAACCTGGGCACCAGCATTTTTTGTAGAGAGATATTCCATCTCTACAAAAAAAGTTTTTTTAAATGAGCCTGGTGTGGTGGCACACACCTGTAATGCCAGTGCTTTAGGAGGCCAAGGTGGAAGGGTTACTTGAGGCCAGGAGTTTGAGACCAGCTTGGACAACATAGCAAGACCCCGTCTCTTAAAAAAATTTTTTTTCTTAATTAGCCAGGTGTGATGCTGTGTGCCTGTGGTCCCAGCTACTCAGGAGGCTAAGGAGGGAGGATCCCTTGAGCCTATGAGTTTGAGGCTACAGTGAGCTATGGTCGCAACACTGCACTCCAGCCTGGTCAAGAAGAGTGAGATCCTGTCTCTAACAACAATATAAACAATAACAAAAAATCCTTGTAAAAATGCATGTAATAGACAATTTAGTTTTGGGTTGTGAAAATGTCTTATAAAGGAAGATATAATATTGAAAAGAATGTAAAATCAGGTTATTAATATGAAAACTAAGAAAAATTTTTCCAGAGAAGCCTAATATTATATTTTAAATTATGCTGTGTATTATACTTAAAATGTAACACTGGTAGCTTATTTAGTCAGCTGTTATTTATTGAGCAGCTAGTCTAAGGGATGAGGGGATTTGTGAAAACCTTCAATCACCTACTCCCTAAAAGGGGGAAGATGTGGTCCTTGAGCTATATGAGTTTATTAGATGTTAGAAAAATGCTGATCTGATTTTTTTTTTTTTTTTTTTTGAGATGGAGTCTCGCTCTGTTGCCCAGGCTGGAGTGCAGTGGTGCCACCTTGGCTCATTGCAAGCAAGCCCGCCTCCCAGGTTCACGCCATTCTCCTGCCTCAGCCTTCGGAGTAGCTGGGACTACAGGTGCCCGCCACCACACCTGGCTAATTTTTTTGGTATTTTTAGCAGGGACAGGGTTTCACCGTGATAGCCAGGATGGTCTCCATCTCCTGACCTCGTGATCTGCCTGCCTCGGCCTCCCAAAGTGCTGGGATTACAGGTGTGAGCCACCGCACCCAACCGATCGGATTGTTTTAAATCTGTTTCGAAGAAAAAAAAATTTTTTTTGAGGAATGTGAGCAAAATTTTTTATTTGTTCATTTCTTGCATTTGAAGTACTCTTCAGTGACATCCTTGACCTGAGATTCTTTGCCATAGTCCTACAGCACAACTGCACAATTGCAACCAGCCACTTTACAGAGTTTTTCCTTTGTCAGTTTTACAGAAGCCTACCTATTCCCCTAGTCTCCTGTCGTCATCAGCCTTAATTAGGTTGATTTGGTATTCAGCGCAAAGGGCCTGCACCAACTTGATATACACAGGCTCATCGTAGTTGGGTGCAAACACACAAAGATGGGCTCGGTGCTTGTCTAAAGTTGCCAGCTTTGTGAATTCCACGTGCTAGGCCATCCTCATGTAAAGCAGTATTAACATCCATGACACCAGCAGCAGCAGTGCCTTCTTCGGCCATGCCGGTGGTTTACTGGTGATAGGGAATCTTCAGCGCACCCAAGCCTCTGCCTCTGAACTTGGTGGAGGCAGAGAAAGAACCCAAGGAATTTCTGTAATTTCCATTACATGACATCTGGGGCTTTAAAGATTTTTTTTTTCCCCTGCTTTTCTTCCTGGTTAAGAGAGGAGAAATAATAAAAAATCTCCTTTCTTCCCTTTTACTGTCTAAGAGTAATCATTCCTAAAAGTTTGGAGTGTATTCTTTGAGAAAGAGAGAATATGGGTGTGTGTTCAGGTACCCGTGTATATGTATGTATGCATATGTTTTGCATAAATAATATCATCTATATGAACTGTTCTCTAACCTGCTTTTTTAACTTAACAGAATAATGCCTTCCTTTCCATGTTAATAGATGGGTGTCTACCTCGTTCTTTTTAATTGCTATATTATATTATATGGATGAATGATAATTTCTTTGCTTAATCCCCTAATGATGGACATTTAGAGTGTTTCCAATTTTTCACTGTAAACAGTGCTCCAGAAAGCATCATTAATATATTCCTGTTATACCCCTGTTAACCATCTCTCCCCTCCGGTCCTCTCTTCTTCTCCTCTTCCTCTCTTCCCCTCTTCGCTTCGCTTCTCTTTTTTTTTTTTTGGAGACAGTCTTGCTCTGTCGCCCAGGCTGGAGTGCAGTGGCGCTATCTCGGCTCACTGCAAGCTCTGCCTCCCGGGTTCGCGCCACTCTCCTGCCTCAGCCTCCTGAGTAGCTGGGGCTACAGGCGCCCACCACCACACCTGGCTAATTTTTTGTATTTTTAGTAGAGACAGTGTTTCACCGTGTTAGCCAGGATGGTCTCAATCTCCTGACCTCGTGATCTGCCTGCCTCAGCCTCCCAAAGTGCTGGGATTACAGGCATGAGCCACCACGCCCGGCTTTTCTTTTCTTACAGAGTCTCTCCCTGTCACCCAGACTGGAGTGCAGTGAGTGGTGTGGTCATAGCTCACTGTAGCCTCAAACTCCTGGGCTCAAGGGATCCTCCGACCTCAGCCTCCTGAGTAGCTAAGACCACAGATGCGAGCACACTACTAAGCCTTGCTAATTTTTAAATTTTTTGTAGAGGCAGAATCTTGCCATGTTGCCCAGCCTGGTCTCAAACTCCTGGCCTCAAGCGATCCCCCAACCCCAGCCACCCGCAGTGTTGGGTTTACAGGCATGAGCCACCACACCTGGCCAATTATTTTCTTAATATAAATTATATTTTCTTTTTTTTTTTTTTTTTGAGACGGAGTCTCGCTCTGTCACCCAGGCTGGAGTGCAGTGGCGCTATCTCGGCTCATGGCAAGCTCTGCCTTCCGGGTTCATGCCATCTTCCTGCCTCAGCCTCCCGAGTAGCTGGGACTACAGAAGCCTGCCACCATACCTGGCTAATTTTTTTGTATTTTTAGTAGAGACGGGGTTTCACCATGTTAACCAGCATGGTCTCCATCTCCTGACCTCATGATCTGCCCACCTCGGCCTCCCAAAGTGCTGAGATTACAGGCGTGAGCCACCACGCCCGGCAAACTATAGTTTCTTAATATAAATTAGGAAAAGACTATGAGCATTTAAATTGTAAATATAAATTGCCAAATTGCTTCTACAAAAATTGTAAATAAAGGTATTTTTTGGAAGGCTACAAAAAATTCTTTTAAGAAAAAAGATTTTTGTAATGAGTCACCAAATGTCCATCAACTGATGAAGAATATGTGATATATTCATACAGTGGAATTTATAAAATGGATTAAAGTGGTGACATGCCATATATAACATTGATGAACTTTTTGTAAACATAACATTAAGTGAAATAAGCAGTCATAAGGAACCATGTATTGTATGATTCCATTGATGTGAAATGTCCAGAGCAGACATATTCGTGGAGACAGAAAGTAGATTAATGGTTGCCTAGGCTTGGGGGAATTGGGGGAAATGGAGAGTGACTGCCGATGGATATGGCATTTTTTGAGGGGGGTATTGAGAATGTTCTGCAGTTGTGGTGATAGCCACATAACTCTGTGAATATGCTAAAAATCACTGAATTGGACACTTTTAGTGGGTAAATTGTATGGTATATAAATTATATCTTAAAGCTGTTTTTTTTTTTTTTTTAAATTGAGGCTGGTCACAGTGGCTCACATCTCTAATTCCAGCACTTTGGGAGGCCAAGGCAAGAGGATCACTTGAGCCGAGGATTTCAAGACCAGCCTTTGCAACATGGCAAAACCCCATCTCTACAAAAAATTTGTTTAAAATTAGCTGGACGTGGTGGCGCATACCTGTGGTCCCAGCTACTCAGGAGACTGAGGCAGGAGGCTCCAGTGAGCTGTTTGAGCCACTGCACGCCAGCCTGGGTGACAGAGCCAGACCCTGTCTTCAAAAAAATAAAAAATTAAAGTGGCGTGAGGTGAATTGCATCAGACCCCACATATGAATAAATGGATGGTTGGCAAAGTGTTATATATAATAAGTACAATTCCTTAGGTGTCCTTAGGTGTACTACTAAAGTGGGTTTGTGATAGCCCATATATTTAGTCATTTATGTTCAATAGTGTTATATTCATTTGAGAAATTATTTTAAGAAATTTAAAATTAAGAAAGTTTTAAAAGTCCTTTAGTAATTAGAGATTTCTCTGGGTGGGTGGATACGGTTGTTTCTAATTATCCCACACATTTAATCATTTATGTTCAATAGTGTTGTATTTTTTGAGAAATTATTTTAAGAAATGCAAAATTAAGAAAGATTTAAAAGTCCTTTAGTAATTAGAGATTTTTCTAGTTGGGTGGATAAGGGTTATTTCTAAGTATCTTTTGAGTATTTTTTGTCATATATTTCGTTTTTTAGGCATGATTAAAAGTGTATTTGAGGACTCTTAGACACATAAAGTTGAATTCCTCAGATTGAGAGATAGTTATTGCTTTTTAATTTTGTTAAGATGCTCAGCTGTTGGATAAATAATGCTTTTGTTAAAATCCTGTGGGGCATTCATCCAACAAATGGGGTATAAGAAAGGAATGTGTGTTTGTGTACATGTTCTTCTATCTGTTGGTCCTAAAGAGTGTAAGAAGGTAAATTTGACCAGTGAAATTCATAATTACAGAGTTTTATTTGGTAATCCATTAATAAATCATTTTCTGAAAGCACATGTCTGTGAGTCATTATATTTTTAATCTTCTTTTCCTCTAACCAAATATATAAGGTTTGTGCTTAGATTTGTTTAAATCCCTTCTGGTTTGTTTGAACTGAATCAGCTTGTTCTCAGCTCTTCTTTTACTTATATATGAGGAAGCAGAGATTTGTAATTTTGTATTTATGGAGATCAACAGGAAAAATCAGATACTCACACTCTGAGACTCTGCCAGATGTAATTTACATTTGAACAAGGATTTACAAAATAACATGGATTAAGTTAAACAATTAGAGCAGTATGCCACAGACTATATATCCTAGGAAAACTATTTGGGTCAGTAGTTTTTGTTTTCAACAGACCCTTGCATTGTGAGTGCCCAGTAAATTGGTTGTAATTAATAATTGTCCCAGTACAAGTCTTTGTTTAGGAATAAGGGAGCTAGCTAAAGTAAGTTTGTGACTGCATTTTGTAGGAAATATGTTAGTTAATCAGTGTGTTTTATGAATGTGAAAATCATTATAATTATTACTTTTAAAACCACCAATAGTGCATTTGTTATCTCTTAACTCTGTTTAGAAGACCTCTTAGTTTGTCATTCTTTAGGCTTAAAAACTCGAGTTGGCACTTGTTTTTTTATTACTGTATATGCAGTATAATGACTGTGTAGTGCAGGACATTTAAACTGAAGGCAGTGAACCCCCTGACATTAAAAGTAAAAGTGTGTGTATGCATATACAATTTCTAAGAGTGAGACTTCATGTCTTTGATCAAAATTTCAAAGGCTTCTGAAACTCTAGAAAATTAAGAACTGGTGACAGGTGTATTTTGTGATGTTGTTTAGAAGTATGTTTTTCTTTTCCTTTCCTGTCTCCTCTTTACCCCTTAAGAGACCTGCACTAACAACTAAATACATTTAGAGACCCTGTATGCAGTTAAGGTCTCCAGACAGTCACAGTTGTTTATATTAAAGTGCTGAAATATATCAGCAGCTACTTACTATTTCTCTAATCACTCAGTAGCCAGAATTAAAATGTTGATGGTGTCTTTAATTCATAGCAGGAGGGCTTTTGTGGTTACTGTAATAAATATTAAACAGAGCCTTCTCCAAAGCCATTGGTCACATGCTTTGTCCCACTAGTAATTAACTTATCATTGAGCTATGGTACACTCTGGCGACTTTTTCCTAAAAGATTTATTTTGACAAACCAGGGCACGATAAATTTTTCTATGAAAAGTGCCTTTTTGACCCAGAGGAGACTAATGCAAATTTGTAATGAGCTATGATGTATAGTGGTCGGCGAGTTTTAGCATCTCCTTTGAGATGGTGTACATTCCCCTCTCATCTGATCTTATTTTTCTTTAGATCATGTTGTATATTGTACATTTGACATGTGTATTCATATTGAATATAATGTAAGAAAGGCAAAAGACTGTTTATTGTTAGTCGAAAAGTATTTATTAGAGTGTAGATTTTGCTTTCAAAGGGCTTATGCTCACTCGCTATTGCATAACCTGTTTATACTATCAGTATAAAAAAGGAAAAAAGATGTTTGGGCCAGGCGAGGTGGCTCATGCTTGTAATCTTAGCACTTTGAGGGGCCGAAACGGGTGGATCATTTGAGGTCAGGAGTTTGAGACCAGCCCAGCCCAGCCAACATGGTGAAACCCCATCTCTACAAAAAATACAAAAATTAGCCGGGCATGGTGGTGGGTGCCTGTAATTCCAGTTACTCGGGAGGCTGATGCAGAGAATCGCTTGAACCTGGAGGCAGAGGTCCCAGTGAGCCGAGATCACGCTGCTGCAGTCCAGCCTGGACGACAGAGTGAGACTTGTCTCAAAAAAAAAAAAAAAAAAAAAAAAGTAAATGGATGTTATGTGGTACTGTGTCAAATTTGGGAGCCAAAATGTTTCTCTTCCCTGTTCATGTAGCATAACTTATTTTGCTTTAGAAAAGCTACAGTGTTAAGAGAGTGAGTTAACTTCTGTCATTTTTTCTGAAGTTGGGAGTAATTTGACTCTGTATTTTATTTTCCAAAGAAAACTGTGCTCTTTTAAAACAGAAATTTGTTCATCTACAGAGTCTTCTCCCAAAGTGCCACCACTTTTGGTGCCATGTAAAACCACTCGACTACTCAGTGACAATTAACTTTAGCCTAGGACACTTTGGTAATGAATCTCTTCAAGTCAAGTCTGTTCTGATCCTTCAGTCTGGCTATTTCAGCATCTTTTAGTCTGAGACCAGTCAAGGGAGAGCAAGTAACTCGGTTATGTGATTTATTAAAATAAAAACAAAATAGAATAGAAAAAAGTAGGATAGAGGCATTAAAAGTATATTCTCAGTATTAAATGATGTTTCCTGTGCTGAGTTTCTAGTCTCTCCTTGGACAACACAATTTTAATTTTGAAAAAATAAGTTGCAAGAATAGCAGACTTACACATTTTAAAGCTTTGCTGCATTTGCCTTATCAAATATTTGTGGAAAAAATATAATTTATTTTTTGAACTCTTTGAGAGTAGGTGAAATACATCATACAGCCCTTTAGCCCTTAATACTTGGTGTGCTTTCTTTTTTTTTTTGAGCAGAGTTTTGCTCTTGTCACACAGGCTGGAGCGCAATGGCGCAATCTCGGCTCACTGCAACCTCCACTTCTTAGGTTCAAGTGATTCTCCTGCCTCAGCCTCTTGAGTAGCTGGGATTACAGGCACCCGCCACCATGCCTGGCTAATTTTTTTTTGTATTTTTAGTAGAGATAGGGTTTCACCGTGTTGCCCAGGCTGGTCGGCTGGTCTCAAACTCCTGACCTCAGGTGATCCACCCACCTCGGCCTCCCAAAGTGCTGGGATTACAGGCGTGAGCTACCACGCCCAGCTCTTGGTGTATTTTCTAAGACTATTACCAAATTCAGGAAATTTAACAGGCAACGAAGTTTTGAACTTTTGAAGTTAAGAAGGAAGCTGAAAGGAAAAGTAGCTAGCCTTAATTATTAGGTATTATCAAATTTTGCTAAAATAAGTTTATTCTCCTTATGTTGATCTTTTAAAAATAGAAGTATTTAAATTTGCTTTATTTAAAAAATTCATTGCATGTATAATAAAGAAGTATATAACTTATATATTTGGTTTCAACAGTTAAGAAAAAAATGTAAGTACCTTGTATCACCACCCAACTTGTACTTTTTTGTCTCTTATATCACTTATTCCCATTTCCACTCCTTCCCATTGTACCTGTGAAAGGAAATGACTATCCTGAATTTTATATTTATTTTCCTTAGTTTTCTTTATAATTTAACAACTTTAATATTATATTTGCCTGGTTTTAATATTTTTGTAAATGGAATGCTACTTTTTGAACTTTTCGTCACACTTTATTTGCTCATCTGTTTTTAAAATAGCTTTATTGAGGTATAATTTACATATAATAAAAATTCACCCATTTTAAGTGTACAGTTTCGATGAGCTTTGATAAATGTATATACAGTTGTGCAACCGCCTGCACAGTCAACTTTGTTCTTGAGATTCATTTGTCCGTGTTGATGCACGTAGCTGAATTCACTTTTGCTGTTGCATGGTATTCCATTGTATGAATATACTACAGTTCATCCTTTCATTGTTGATGGACATTTGGGTAGTTTCCAGTTTGGGGCTTTTATGAACAGTGCTGCTATGAACATTTGGATTGCTGGATCATAGCATATGTGCATGTTAAACTTTACTATGTGCATGTAAAATTGATTTCCTAAGTAGTTAATATCACTAGTAGTATAAGATAATGACAGTACTTAATATTATCAGAGTTTAAAATTTTTACTGATGCAGAGCATGTGAAATGATATTTTATTGTGGTTTTAATTTGCATTTCCTGCATAAAAGTGCAACGGAACATCTTTTCATATATTTTATCGGCCATTCATTTGTTTTCTTTTGAAAAGCACCTGCTCTCTTTTTACTCATTTTCTCTTTTTTGTTTTTTTTTTGGCCTTTTAAAATTGATTCCTTGGTGTTACTTATATATTGTGTATATTAATCTTTTGTTATATGCAAAATCTTTTTCCAGTTTGTGGATTCTGTTTTTGCTTGGTTTTATTTATTTTCTGATTATTAGAAGTTCTGATTTTTAAAATAGCGAAGTTTACCCTTTACTTTTAAGATGGATGCTTTATCAGCTAAATGTGGTGGCTCATACCTGTAATCCCAGCACTTTGGAAGGCTGAGGTGGGAGGATCGCTTTGAGCCCAGGGGTTCAAGATCAGCCTTGGCAACAAAGCAAGACTTCATCCCTATTTTTTTTAAAGGGTTAATGCTGTATGTGTCATGTTTTTAAAAGTTCTTCTCTAAGCGCATACAAATACTCTCTTATACCTTCTAAAAGTCTTAAGCTTTACAATTCACATTTAAATCCTTGAAATTTATTTTTTTAAACAGTATGAAGTAGAGATTAATTTCGCCCCATCAAGATAACCTATTATCCTGGCACTATTTATTGAATAGTCCAGCCTGATCTTTGATACTGGTTCTATCAGACTAGGTTTCCAGATAACTGAGGATCATTTTCAGGGCCGTCTCTTCTGTTTCGGTGTTCTGTTTGTCTGTCTCTGAGGCAGTGCCACACTGCAGTACTGATAACTGTAGGACCAGTTTCTTCATTGTGTTCTGCTATAGGGGTGGCTTGGTCATTCTTATAGATGCCATTAAAAACTATTTTGGGATTGCACTGGACACATAGTTCAATGTGAAAAGAATTGGCATCTTTACAGTGTTGGATTTTCTAATTTGAAAACATGGTATATCTGTTTATTTAGTTCTTCTTTAGCAATAAAAATTTTACATAAAAACATCTTTAAGGTTTTTGCATCTTTTTTGTTAGATTTGTATCTGGGTACTTAAAATTTTTTTTTCTATCACAAGTGGTATTTTAATTTTTTTAATTGAAGTATAATATGATGCATGCATTTTTTTCTGTATGTATGCTGAATTTTCAAGTTAAACTCCGGACCTAGATCAAAAAATAACATTAGCAGCTCCCTAGAAACAATCCTCTTGTTTCTTTCCTGTTACTAACATCCCCAAGGGCTGCCACTGTCCTGACTTTTAAAATCATGAGTCAGTTTAGCCTATTTTGGCACCTTACATAAATGGAATCATACAGTATGTGCTCTTCTGTATCTAGCTTCTTTCGTTCAGTGTTATTTTTGTGATCATCTAGTTGTAGTTCCAGATTGTTCATTCTTATTGCTGTATGGTATTCAATTGCATAAATATACCAAAAGTAGTCACTTTTAACATTTTTAAAATACTTTTAATTTTTTAAATAGAGACAGGATCTTGCCGTGTTGCCCAGACTGGTCTCAAACTGCTGAGCTCAGATGATCCTTCCACCTTGGCCTCCCAAAGTGCTGGAATTACAGATGTGAACCACTGTGCCCAACCTAGAAGTGGTCATTTTAAGTTGCATTCTCTGTTTTCTTGTAGCTTAGAAATGCTGTCGACTTTAGTATATACTTACAGGCAGTAACTTTGTTAAATTCTCATTAATTCTGATATCTTTTTTTGTCTTGGCTTTTCTTTATAGATAGTAATTTTGTTTGCTAATGATAGTTTTTTTTCCCCATTGGTGTTTATATCTTTCATTTCTTTTGATCAAGAAGAGAAGCAAGCATAGAATAATCAGACGCAAAGATAATGGGTTATATATTTTATAAATAAATAGAAATATTTTCTTTAGATTTTGGAAGTGAAATTGAGCTGGAATTTCTACGTGTTTTTTGTTTCTGTTTTGTTTTATGCCCTGGGCTTCTGCTGCCTCTCAGTGCCTGTGTGGTTTAGACAGGGGGAGTTAATTTGGGGAGGAGTGGGACAAGAGGGGCCAGCTACTTTGTCTTTGGCCTCCTGTTCATGTGTGTGCAATTGGAGTTGAATCTTTTTCTGGAGGTCTTGATAAGCTGTCACAATTGGTTAATCTTTTCTTGGTTTATTAGTGCAGCTAGATAACCCAGGGTCAGGGAATGGTAACTTGTGTTCTAGCATATATGCTTGTTATTTAATGGAGTGTAAATGGATTTGGGGCATACTGAACTCAGGAGGGCACTCAGAAATGTGTTCCACTGTCCTGAGTTTTCATCTATAAGAACTTGAGTGTGTATGGATCAATTAACTGGAACTCCTCAGAAAACAGGGTGAAGTTTTGAAAGAAAGTTCAAGTTACATAAAGCATTGAATCACAAATTACTTTGTGATTTCTCAGAGGATGTCAGCGGTAAAGGCGGTAAGGCTCACATGTCAGATCTCCATGGGGAATTTTTATACCTACAAATTAAAGCCAAATTGATTACCCTGTATAGATAATAACGTAGAGTTGGAGATGCCACATAAAGAGAAAAATCTTCAGCAAGTGTGTAATTATTAGAAAACCATATACTTCTAGCTCATGATTCTTTTCTGCTTTGTGTTGGGTAGATGCAGAAAAGTTATAAGCATCAACTTAATGTGGTTGAGGCTTTCTGAACTGATCTCCATTTAACCAGTTCACTGCATTAACTGGTGTTCTCAACTCCTTCTATGACATAAGTCAACTGATGCTCATGCTGGGTGGGTTCGTTGACCATGGACATCCCAGTTGCATGCCACGCACTTCCACGCCTCCCCGTTGAGTTGTAAATTACCAAAACCAGTAGTATTTGGCTTTATAGAGTTTAGTTATTATGTAAATTGATATTATATGAACAGAAAAAATGTGCTTTCTGTGGAAGACAGAATCAGTGAAAGTGAATTCTCAAAATGTGCTTCCCAGATCAGCAGCATCAGAGTCCTCTTGAAACCTGTTAAAAATGCACATTCTCAGCCTCCACTCTAGACCTGTTATATCAGAAACTTGGCTGGGTGCGGTGGTTCACACCTGTAATCCCAGCACTTTGGGAGGCCGAGGCAGGTGGATCACCTGAGGTCAGGAGTTCGAGACCAGGCTGGCCAACATGGTGAAACCCTGTCTCTACTAAAAATACAAAAAAAAAAAAAAAAAAATCTGTGTTTTACCAAACTTTCCAGGTGATTCTGAAGCTTACTAACATTGGAGAATCACTTTCTAAAAAATACTGCCATCGAATTAAACACAGGAGAGAGAGGGATTATAAAAATAGAAGAGGTTTCTATACTCAGATTGTTTTTCAGTGACCAGTTCTTTATTCTCCTTAAAGAAACAGACATTGAAAATTCATAATGCATCATGGTGTAGTTTACATAGAAAAACAACCAGAACTCCATTCAGCAGACCATTCTCAAGGAAATGTACTTTGTGTCAGTCTAAAGATTGCAGAATGAACGAACTTTTAAATACTTTAAGTTAATGTAAAAACGTTTAAAGGTATAAGTACCCATTTTTATGATTCTCTGCTTTAATCTACTCTTTTTTTTGTTTTTTGTTTTTGTTTTTGTTTTTGTTTTTTGAGACAGAGTCTCACTCTGTCGGCCAGCCTGGAGTGTAGTGGCACAATCTTGGCTCACTGCAACCTCCATCTCCCAGGCTCAAGCAGTTCTCCTTCCTCAGCCTCCCGAGTAGCTGGGATTACAGGCGTGTTGACACCACGCCCAGCTAATTTTTGTATTTTTAGTAGAGATGGGGTTTCACCATGTTGGCCAGGCTGGTCTCGAACTCCTGACCTCAGGGTATCTACCTGCCTTGGCCTCGTAAAGTGCTGAGATTACAGGCGTGAGCCACTGCGCCCGGCCTAATCTACTCTTTAAACTCATTGTCCAGCTAGCCAAGCCTGTTTATAAGAGAGGAGGACTTTGACTATATTTGATAAATATAATAGCCAAGGCTGATAGGCACCCAGATATGCTGGAAGAGCTGTCAGCCAGTGTCTGTTATGAAATGTATTTCTGTTATGAAATGTATCTCATTTAATACTTGCTGCAACTTTATGAGGTAGGTACCCATTTTGCAGATGGGAGGGAGTGAAATTTGGAAATTATACAGCTAATTCAATGACAACACCAGAATTTAAACCTAGGCAGGCTTCAGATTGTTCTGGTGTGGCAAAGTCTAAATTTCAATGAACAGAAATATATATATATATATATATATATTTGTTGTTGTTGTTCTTGTTGTGTTTTGTTTCTTCAAGACAGGTCTCACTGTGTCACCCAGGTTGGAGTGCAGTGGCATGATCATGGTTCACTGCAATCTGGACTTCCTGGGCTCAAGTAATCCTCCTACCTCAGCCTCCCGAGTAGCTGGGACTATAGGTGTATGCCACCACGCCTGGCTAATTTTTGTGTTTTTTTATAGAGATGAGGTTTTGCCATGTTGTCCAGGCTGGTCTTGAACTCTTGGCGCTGAAGCAGTTTCCACCTCAGCCTCCCAAAATGCTTGGATTAGAGGTGTGAGCCACCACACCCAGCAGAAATATATATGTTGATATAGAATATTTTGCATTGGGTATTCAGAGAACAAGTTAATTTGACAGCTGTGGTGAGGCCTTCTAACACTCACCGTAAACTTTCCTATGTCCCAAAGTATCTCTAATAATAACGTTAATAATTAATAGTATATACAACCCATCCTTTTCTGAAGGAAAGTTCAGAACTTTCTTTAGAACATCTACTGTGAATTGGGAACCAAAAAAAAAAAAAGCAAATGTATTGGTATTGCTAGGGTTACCATAGCATAGTACCACAGACTGGGTGCCTTCAACATGGGTACCCATGTTGAAGGTTGAATATTTTCTCACTACCCTGGAGGCTGGAAGTCCGAGATCAAGGTGTGGGCAGGTTTGGTTTCCTCTGAGACTTCTCTCCTTGGCTTGTAGATGACTGTCTTCTCCCTGCGTCTTCTCATTGTCTTCCTTCTCTGTGTGTCTCTGTCCGGATTTCCTTGCTTATAAAGACACCAGTCATAATGCATTAGGTCCCATTGTAATGACATCATTTTAACTTTAACCTTTTTCAAGCTCCTATCTCCAGATGTCGCATTCTGAGGTACTGAGGGTTAAGGCTTCAATATGGAAATTTAGGGTGTGGGGACATGATTCCATTCATAACAATAGCTAAGATGCTTTTAGATATTTAGAGCTTCTCCCAAAGGTTGAGATCTTTGATTTTGATTTGAGATTTGAAAAACCTTGACTTTACTCTTTGATATAATTAGGGCAGAGTTCATAGCACCAGGCTATTTTAAATCCAGGTGACAGCAGCTTCTTAGTGGGTTTTAGGAGGGTAATATATTTGGGTAGCAGAATGGATTCTACCCTTCAAATACCAGTTAAAGCTTCTTTGATGATTTAGAATTACATATGTTGGGCCAGGTGCAATGGCTCACGCCTGTAATCCCAGCACTTTGGGAGGCCCAGGCAGGCGGATCACCTGAGGTCAGGAGTTCGAGACCAGCCTGATCAACATGGAGAAACCCTGTCTCTACTAAAAATACAAAATTAGCCAGGCATGATGGTGCATGCCTGTAATCCCAGCTACTTGGGAGGCTGAGGCAAGAGAATCACTTGAACCCAGGAGGCAGAGGTTGTGGTGAGCCGAGATTGCGCCATTGCACTCCAGCCTGGGCAACAGAGCCAAATTCTGTCTCAAAAAAAAAAAAAAAAAAAAAAAAAATAAATTTACATGTGTTAAGTCCTAACTAATTAAAAAGTTTGTCATAAAAAATTCTAACTACAGGAATTCTTGTTATGGGGGAAAATGTGTAACACTTGAAATGCAAATAATCTTCTTTTATATCAAGCTAATTATGCAGCCATTAGTTCAAGCCCTGCCTTCTGCTGTCTTTTATATATAGCTCTCCTGTGAGGTCTCTTCCTGAAAACTCTTCACTGGTCTGGTAAGGGGAACAGGGAATTCTCTCTTAACTCTGCTGCTGCCTCTTGAAAGAAGGAAACAATGACTGGAAAGATAAAATATGCTCTATCTGTGGTTGATTTTTGACCCCTAATTAGGTTTCATCTGTAGGTTCACTAACAGCGTTTTCCTACCATATGTAAAATTAAACAGTAATGCTTTCTCCATAACTTAATTTGCATGCTCGAATCCCTTGTGGATCAGCAGCATTAGCACACCCTGGGAGCTCATTAGAAATGCAGAAGCTCAGGACCCACCACGGATTTACAGAATCGAAGAATCTGCGCTTAATAGTGTTCCTGAAGCATCCGTATACATATTGAAGTTTAAGAAGCATTGTGCTGATGTACCTTCAAAACAGTGTTCCAAAAGAAGAAGAGGAAGAGGAGGAAAAAGGAGGAGGAGGAGGAGGAAAGGAAAGAAGGAAGGAAGGAAGGAAGGAACTTCCATATAGAGTAAATTCCCGATGTTGCCATGGCATTTGTAAATTGTCATGGTGGGTGAGACTATCTTTTTTTTTTTTTTTTTTAATTTATGAGACGGAGTCTCGCTCTGTCTCCCAGGCTGGAGTGTGTAGTGGCGCGATCTCGGCTCACTGCAAGCTCCGCCTCCCAGGTTCACGCCATTCTCCTGCCTCAGCCTCCCGAGTAGCTGGCACTATAGGCGCCCGCCACCACGCCCAGCTAATTTTTTGTATTTTTAGTAGAGACGGGGTTTCACCGTGGTCTCAATCTCCTGACCTAGTCATCCACCCGCCTCCGCCTCCCAAAGTGCTGGGATTAGAAGCGTGAGCCACTACGCCCGGCCAGGTGAGACTATCTTTTAACCTGCTAATGAATTATAATTAGCATATAATGAGCAGTGAAGATGACCAGGGGTCACTTTCCTTGCCATCTTGGTTTTGGTAGGTTTTAGCCGCTTCTTTACCTCATGCTGTTTTATCAACAAGGTATGTGTGATCTGTACCTTGTGCAGACCGCCTACCTCATCCTGTGACTTAGAATGCCTAACCTCCTGGGAATACAGACCAGTAGGTCTCAGCCTTATTTTACCCAGCCCTTGCTACATTCAAGAAGGAATCACTCTGGTTCTAATGCCTCCGACAGAATGGTCAGATTCTCAGACTCTAAAGCAAAGAAGACTATGTTCAGTGACAGCAAGACTGTTGAAGAAAAATAAACTCGAATGGCCTTGAGGAGCTATTATCAATAAAAACAGTATAACTTATAATTATCTGTTGTGTTACAATGAAGTATATCATCACTGCTGTACTGAATATTGGATTTCAGATGTAGCACTGAAACATCTGTTACTGAAATATGCACCAGAATGTCTTATGTATTCCTTGCAGGCATTGTTGTTTATAGAGGTCTTCTGTTGTTTTAGTGTTGTTAATATGTAGCAGATGCACAAGGAAAGGGGGAGGAAAGAGGAAAGGGCGGAAAGCGCCCTAAAGTGCCTTAGAGTTTTTCTGAGATTTAAATTTGTTTCTGTTTATACTTTTACTCAATTGGAGAAAATAATGGAGGTCTTGAAGGAATTTGTGCCAATTTGCTTACATAACTATTGCATATGTATCAGAGTTCAGTGACTCATCTCTTTACCATCATGGGGTTTTTGACATGCAAGGCTAGAAAATTTCATGAGATTGGTTGGCTAAATTGAACTGGTTTTGTAGAATGAATACATAAAAATTAGTGCATTCCTTATATAACAACACAACTTTTTCGTTGCTGGGTAAAAAAAAAAAAAAAAAAATTCACTCTAAGGCAGTGAAATTTTAAAGACTT